>NC_000012.12:110793461-110944976 GCF_000001405.40 Homo sapiens | reverse complement strand
AAAGTAGAATAAGGGCTACCAAGGGCTGGGGGAGGGAGAATGGAGAGTTACTGTTTAATGGGTGCACAGTTTCAAATTTTGGTGATGAAAGTTTTGGAGATGGATGGTGGTGATGGTTGCACAACAGTGTCAATGTACTTAATGCCACTGAACTGGACTCTTTTTTTTTTTGAGTTTCACTCTGTCGCCCAGGCTGGAGTGCAGTGTTGTGATCTCAGATCACTACAACCTCCACTCCCAGGTTCAAGAGATTCTCCTGCCTCAGCCTCCCAAGTAGCTGCGATTACAGGCATGCACCACCGCACCCAGCTTTTTTTTTTTTTTTTTTGTATTTTTAGTGGAAACAGGGTTTCACCATGTTGGCCAGGCTGGTCTCGAACTCCTGACCTCAAGTGATCCACCCCACCTCAGCCTCCCAAAGTGCTGGGATTACAGGCATAAGCCACCGCACCCGGCCTGAACTGGACTCTTAAAAATGGTTAAAAGGGTAAATTTTATGTTATGTGTATTTTACCACAATAAACAAGATAATTCAAAGACAAATAGAACACTGGAAAAATATTTGCAAAAATAACGGCTTTATATTGCCAGTTTTTAAAAACATAAGCAAAGATAGAAACATGCAATGCAAAATAAGAAGAATTAGGATGAGGAGGAGAAATAAAAATGGCTAAAAACCAATTTGGAAATATATCCAATCTCTCTAGTGAGCAGTTTTAGTGGTGTGTGGGATAATATCATATATAGCTGTTGAGCGTGTAAATTAGCATCTTTCTGGAAGGCAGTTTGGTTCTATGCATGAAATCTTTTTTTAAAAAGTTCCATGACCCCCCAATTACACTATTAGGAATTAAGTATAAAACAGTAGTCAGATGAAATACATACAAGGGCAAGCAATAGAGGATGGCTAATAATCAGACAAAAGTTTAAATCAACCTACAACCCCCAGTAAGAGGAGGTTCGTAAATAAATGCTGGCACAACCGTGGACTATGCAAACTTTAAAAGGGACGACATTCTTCTATATTTATTGACATGCCGAGGTGTGCATGACATATTTTAAGTGAAAAAGATGCAGATTAAGAGAAAATATGTACAGTATGGGGGCGGAAAGTGCATGTGTCTGAATACATTAGAAGTCTAGAAGAAATGTTAACCATGCTCATTTGTGGGTAGTGGAACTCCAGATAATTTTTTTCTTCCTTACACTCATCTTTCTTTTTTTTTCTTTTTCGGGGCTATGAGCATATATTCCATCAGAAAATTTTAGAAGACCTTTTTTTTTTTTTTTTTTTTTTTACACAATTACAGAAAAGCACAGATGTGGTCCTGGCTGGAGAGGGAAGAATCCCACTGCCCTTCTCATTTGAGGATCTCAAGGCACATCAAAAAACATCTGCTGAGGACTTGGCAAACCCTAAGATGTCTCGGTCAAAGTTGCCCTCCCTGGAGAGTTCCAGCCCCAGTCTGCTCCAAGTTCAGTCCACACAGAGCATTCACTGACACTCCTCAAATCCTCCATCATCTGTGCAAGTGGAGTAGATAAAGTTTATAAGAATCCAGGATCTCATCCACCACCTCTTTTCCCATCTTTCCATGGCATTGGGCTCCTCCTGGGACACCTGCTTCCCTGTTTTCTGTTGCTTCCTCCTGCCTTAAGATGGTGACATTGAGCAGACATGATCAAAAGATGTCCCCAGAAGCCAACCTTCTCTAAGCAGAGTCTGATTCTGGGTTCTCTGAATGCTGCCTCTCCACTACCCCACAAAGAAAGCTGAAACTGGGGAGGTTCTTGTTAAGGGAGAACAGTTTTCTTCTTGCCTTTCCTAGTGAGTTCTTTCTACCTGGAAGGTGCATGTGTGGCCTGGAGCTGCAGCAGCCATTTTATGTCCACAAGGAAGTCCCATATCCTAAGAAAATGAAGCAGGAAATTAGAAGAAACTGGTATCTTGGGTAGCTTCCTTGATGCTTTGCGTAGCTTTGAGTTGCCTGCCCCCAACTCTTTATTTTGTGAAATAAATTATGTTTAAGCTAGATTATCAGAGGTTTACAGGCAGAGATGATCCTAACTGATCTCTTGGGGTTTCCATCATGTCCACAACGCCTGGGCTTGGCCCTAAGTGTAGAGGCTGTGGGGGGTGTGTGTGTGTGTGTGTGTGTAGGGGGTGTGTCCCTTTCAACTGCTGGCAGCACTGTTGTTCTCTCTATTGCAATTCTTCTCTATGCTCATTTAATCTTTGTAACAACCCTCAAGGGAGGTACCATTGCCATCTTCCTTTCACAGCTGGGAAATTGAGGCTTCCAGAAGATAAGTGACTTGCTTAAGTTTACACTAATCTGAGGACTCTTCCTATGACATTACATGATTCAGCCAGGGCAGAAGACAAACAGCCTTGATAATAGTTGTTGTTAACTAGGCCATTTCTTGGTTCTCTGGAGAGTCCTCAAACCTAGGCCTTTGCTTTAAGCTTAACAAATAGCACAGTGATGAAGAGTGCAGACCACGGTCTCAGAAAGATTTGAATTCAAATTCTAGTTCCCTCAGAGTTCCAGGTCAGCCCTCTGGGAAGCAGACACCAAGATGGAAGTGAACTTGCAAGAGATTTATTGAGGAAGATACCTAGGAAGGATAAAGGGGAGGGGAAGCCAGGCACGGTGGCTCACACCTGTAATTCCAGTGCTTTGGGGGACCAAGGTGGGAGGATGCTTGAACCCAGGAGTTCAAGACCAGCCCGGGCAACATAGTGAGACCCCATCTCTACAAAAAATTAAAAAAATGAAAGGGCCGGGCACTGTGACTCACACCTGTAATCCCAGCACTTTAAGAGGCCAAGACGGGTAGATTACTTGAGCCCAGGAGTTCAAGACCAGCCTGGGCAACATGGCAAAACCCCATCTCTACAAAATAATAATAATAATAATAATTTTAAAATTAGCCAGGCATGGTAGCACACGCCTATAGTCCCAGCTACTTAAGAGGCTGAGATGGTAGGATCACTTGAGCTCAGGAGGTCAAGGCTGCAGTGAGCTATGATCGCACCACTGAACTCTAGCCTGGGTGACAGAGTAAGACCATCTCAAAAAAAAAAAAAAGTGAAAGAAAGGAAAGAAAAGAAAATGAAAAGGATAAAGAGGAGAGAGTAGGAGGGGGGAGGGAGCACCTTCAGATCCTGATGCTGGTCTGACACCTGGGAATGGAGAGGGGAATGATAAGGACAAAAGATGGGAGGAGGAGCCTCAGATTGCAGTACAGCTCTGAGAAAGTCCCCAGGCTGATGGGGAGCCCAGAGCAAGGGTTGCCTGTCCCCGTCTTGGGCAGGCGTGACCCAGCTCTCCCACCCCGGCTGTGCCCAGTCATTGGCTGGGAGCAGTCAATGGACACCATGTCAATCTGGAGATGTGGCACTGGGAGCTGTCACCAACACCTTGAGGAAAGAGGTGCTTTCTTGAAGGGAGAGTGGCACATTCCACGGCCACCACCCCCCTCACCATGAGCAAGTCCCAGCACCTCACTTAGCCTCAGTGCGCTCATCTGTGAAACGAGGGTGGTAATAATGGTGCCTATCTCTCAAGGTTGGCCTGAGGACTAAAAGGCATAATTTACACCAAGGCTTAACCGAGCGCCTGCCACATGGGAAGCGCTCAAAGAAAGGCAGCTATTTTTAATAAGGAAAATTCCCTGCCTGTCTTTCCCACCTCCACCTCCCCAGGAACCAACCCTGTGCATCCCTTCTGTGTTGAGATCTGCTAGGAGCTCAGCTCAAGGCAGTGACAGATGCTATCCTGCAGGTGCCAGGGGCTCACATCTCAGCTTTCCTGGCAATGAGGTCATTCGTGCACCCACAGAGCCAAGCAACAGAGGCTGGCGGCGGGGCCCCGCCCCAATGCTCTCCCGCCCCAGCCCCCAGGAGAGCTGGGAGTTCTCAAGTGAGGATGTGACATTGACACTCTAGGGGACGCGATGTTTTGGGTCAGTCATGGTGGGATCTCAGGCTGAAAGGGCAGAGGCCAGCTCTTCTGAAACCCTCCTCTGAAGGTAAAGTAGTGGGTGGCTCAGAGCAGTCAGGGATGGGCCCAAGGTCTCAGTTCCCATCCTGACCCTCTGGGGTCTTTCATCAAGGCAAGGAATGACACCAAGGGAGATGCTAGTGGGCTGGGGAACATGGTGCAGCCCTGGGCAAGTTCTTTGCCATGCATGGGTTATGGGTTAGGTGACCTGGCTTGTGTGTACCCTTTTTCTTCAACTTCTTTACCTGTAAAATTGGTACAGTTGGACTTCTCTCAAGCTAGCCACTCATGGAAATGAAATGACGGAAATACCCACCAGAAATATTAGTTACAATGTCCTGAGAATGTACGATGTGGCAAGTCCTGTGCCACACACTTATAAACATTGGCCACTTAATCTTCACAAAACCGTGAAGTGGGAACTGTGATTGTACCCATTTGGCAGATGTGGAAACTGAGGCTCTGAGAGGCTAGCTGAGCTACTGTAGTCATGCAGCTGAGAGGTGAGCCTGATGGAGGCTGTGGGCCCTCTCAGCCCTGCTCAGCCCGGTCCTGCTCTCATCATAGACTAGAGCATGGAGATGTTCCATGTATCATTGTTTTAATGGCAAAACAACCCAGCTATCCATCATAGGGGATCAAATAAATAACTCATGTGACCTTTACATAATGAAAATTGCTGCATCAATTAAAAAGAACAAGGCAGGCTGGGCATGATGGCTCATGCCTGTGATCCAGGTCTTTGGGAGGCCAAGGTGGGAGGATCACTTGAGGCCAGTAGTTCAAGACCAGCCTGAGCAACATAGTGAGACCCTGTCTCTAACAGTAAAAAAAAAATAAAAAAATTAACCATGGCGGCACGTGCCTGTGGTCCCACTACTCCAGAGGCTGAGGCAGGAGAATCACTTGAGCCCAGGAGGTCGAGGCTGCAGTGAGTTATGATCATAGCACTGCACTCAAGCCTAAGTGACAGAGAAAGACCCTGTCTCAAAAAAAAGAAAAAAAAGAAAAAAAGAAAAAGAACAAGGCAGCCCATGTGCCCCTATAGGGAACAATTTCTAAGATAGGCAGTTGACACTTGAACAACACAGGTCTGAACTATGCAGATCTACTTACACATGGATTTTTTTCAAGCTGACTGCGGGACTTGAGTATGCAAGGATTTTGGTATACGAAGGGGTCCTGCAGCCAATCCTCCACCTATGCCAAGGGACAACTGTCTTGTTAAGAGAAGAAAGCAAGGGCCAGGCACAGTGGCTCATGCCTGTAATCCCAACACTTTGGGAGGCCAGGGCTGGGGGATCGCTTGAGCCCAAGAGTTTGAGACCAGCCTGATCAAAATGGCAAGACCCTCTCTCTACAAAAGAATCAAAAATTAATAATTTTTTTTTAAAAAAGAAGAAAGCAAGGAATAGAAATCATGTTTTAAACGAACCCTTTTGGAGGTTTTTTTAACGTGTAACATGATACTAATTTTATTTAAATTTTTTTATTTTTATGACAGTATTTTCTTCCTACTGAGGGAAAATTCCCATAACAAAACTTATGCAGGAGCTGAACCATGTCTAGCAGGTGAACACACAAAATGAACCCGGGCAACTTCTGGGGAGATGTGGGCCTTTTCTTTCTACTGTACGTACTTCTCTTGTGTTTGGTTTTTATAACAAGAAAAATTGCTTTCATTAGAAAAATTAATACAAAAAGCAATGCATGTCCAATACCGAAAATACAATATAGAAATGAATAAAGAAGAAAATTAAAATTACCCAAACGACCAGCCCTACAGAGGCAAGCCCTGGCAATGTGGTAGGGTACTCATTTCTCTTCAGAAAAGGTGATTTCCTGCCAAATGAAACATTCTCAGGCTGCTATAGGGTCCCCCTGAAACCCTCCCAAACCCTCTTGAGAAACACGCAGGCCTCACAGACTGTTGAGCAAAGTGCACAACCTTTGCTCCAACATTCCCACTCTAGAAGCACATCCGAAGGAAATAATTGGATACTCAGACAGTGTAGAAATTTTACAAGAATGGTGGCTGCATCGCTATTTATAATTGGGAAGATCACCTAAATGCCCATTAGTGGGGGAATGGTTGAATAAATCCCGAACATCTGTGAGATGGAACATTCTACAACCGTTTCAGTAATGATGTGGATCAATATTTATTGACATGGAATGATTGCCTTGTTATATTATTAGGCAAATAAGTGGTTATGAAACCGTATGATGGTATGACCCCAATTTTTGTAAAAAAAATACATATAATATACACACACACGTATGTATGTGTGTATGCTTAAAAATAGAACACAAAAATATACACCACCATGTTACCAGTTATTTCTGGGTAGAGGGACAGGAAGTGATTTTTTTAATGTCTAATTTTCCCACAGTAAATGGATATTATTTTGCACTTTTTAAAACTAAAAACTAAATAACATGCTAGCACAGTCTCACCTCGGGGCCTCTGCCCTGGCACTTTCCTCTGCCTGAAATGCTTTTCTCCAAATATTCTCCACTTTCTTCATGTCTTTGTTCAAACGTCATTTTCTCCAGGAGGCTTCCTGACCGCTCGATTTAAAATTGTGTCTTGGCTGTGCACGGTGGCTCACGCTTGTAATCCAGCACTTTGAAAGGCCAAGGCGGGAGGATGGCTTGAGGCTGGGAGTTCAAGACCAGCCTGGGCAACAAAATGAGACATTATTTTAAAAAAGTTTTTTTTAAATACCTGGGCATGGTGGCACACATCTGTGGTCCCAGCTACTCGAAGGCTAAGGTGAGAGGATCGCTTGAGCCCAGGAGTTCCAGGCGGCAGTGAGCTATGATGGTGCCACTGCACTCCAGCCTGGGTGACAGAGAGAGACTCTGTCTCAATAAAGTATATTAAAAAAAAAAAAAAATTAGCCGAGTACCGTGGCTCACGCCTCTAATCCCAGCACTTTGGGAGGCCAAGGCGGGCGGATCACAAGGTCAAGAGACGAGACCGTCCTGGTCAACATGGTGAAACCCCGTCTCTACTAAAAATACAAAAATTAGCTGGGCGTGGCGGCGCGCACCTATAGACCCAGCTACTCGGGAGGCTGAGGCAGGAGAATCACTTGAACCTGGGAGGCAGAGGTTGCAGTGAGCCGAGATCGCACCACTGCACTCCAGCCTGGTGACAGACTGAAACTCCGTCTCAAAAAAAAAAAAAAAAAAAAAAAAATCGTGTTTATCTCTCTCTTTCTTCCTTTTTGTCTCTGTCTCTCTTCCCTCTTACCTTGTTCTATTTTCCTATTTTACTCCATAGAAGGTATCAACTTCTAACCTCCTAGGTCGTTTGCTTATTTATTACGTTTGTCATCTAAGACCTCCTGCCCACCGGCCCCCAGCAGGAAGGACTGCTCCAGGAAGGCAGGAATTGGAATTTGTGTCTGTTTTGTTCCCTGTTGACTCCCAGGGCTTAGAACAAGGCTTGGCACACAGTAGGAGCTCAGTAAATATTTGAGTAGTGAATGAATGAAATCTAAACAAGCAAATGGTTTTCCTTTATGAAGACTTTATTTCATCCTCACTCTTCTGATTTTCAGAAGCAGCAGCACGGATGAGACGGGTCTGGCAGGCTTGGCGGGGGACAGGTGGGAGGAAAGATGTTCCTCGCCCTCTCCAGATTCCGCGCCCTTGGTTCGCCAGCGGGAAGCCGTGGCTGCGCGGAGCCGAGGTAGCACCGCCCCCTGCTGGGCAGTTTGGAGAAATGCAGCGCGGACGCTCAGCGATTGGGCCAGATACATTTCAAACAAGTACACCTGGGAATTTGGAAAGGAACAGGATGGAAAGGTCATCGGGGGTGAGGCAGCCAGATGGATCTGCGGGAGGCCTTTTCAGAAAGGAAGAGGAGCCGAGAAAAAAAATGCAGCCCATTCTCTCAGCTGCAGGACCCGGATTCAAGCAGAGTCCGCGTCTCGCAATGAATGGGTTTCTCCTGTTGAGGCCAAGGCTGACCGTGATGGAAGCCAGGTGCAATTCAAGGCCAACTCCCAGGGATCTCTTTTTGGAATTTCTGGTTTCCCTAGGTTTCCTCGCAGGTTTTGTGGTGAGCATGTATCCTTTTATCAAACCCACCCCACAAAACCAGAATTTCAAAACAAGTTTTTACCCAGCCTTTTTAACAAATGTGCACATGCAGTTTCAGAAAGAGGAAATGTATTAGTGTATTAGTCCATTCTCACACTGCTATAAAGAACTACCTGAGACTGGGTAATTTATGAAGAAAAGAGGTTTTATGGACTCACCGTTCTGCAGGCTTAACCAGCAGTATGACTGGGAGACCTCAGGAAACTTACACTCATGGCGGAAGGCAAAGGGGAAACAAGCACCTTCTTCACATGGTGGCAGGAGAGACAGAGAGAGAAGTGAGGAGAGCTCTATCACGAGAATAGCAAGGGGGAGGGGGAGCTCCGCCCCCATGATACAATCACCTCCCACCAGGCCCTTCCCCCGACAAGTGGGGAATACAATTGGAGATGAAATTTGGGTGGGGACACAGCCAAACCCTATCAATTAGCCAAGTCAAGATTGTTCATTGACTCGACATTTTTACTGTGAATTTACTGTGTGCCAGCCACGGTTCTTGGTGCTGGGGCTACAGCAGCAAAACAGACAGACAAAAACCTCAGCCTTTATGGAGCCGATATTACAGTAAAAGAGACAAGTCCCTAACGCACAAATAAATGAAAATACCTGACTAAAAACTAAGGTAAGTGCCCTGAAAGAGAAAAACAAGGTGTTACCAAAAAAATTTTAAAAAGAGCAGACTTCAATTTTGGGAATCCACACCGAAGACATGAGATTTAATCTGAATTCCTCTCCCAGGAGCCAGGGGCAATCTACGGGGAGAAAGGAATAGCAAGAGAGAAGCTGGAAGTTTCCAGGCTTTCAGTCTTAATTCAGTATCCCCCAGAGAAGAATAACTTGTCCCTTTTAGTAGATGTTTGCTCTGTAGTAAAAGGACAGCATAGGAGTCTAGAATCAGAGTCCTGGGTTCAATTCCTGGCTCTGCCCCCTTCCTTAGTTTCTATTTCCTCTGTCCCTTAGAGTTATTATAAGGATTTAATGAGATAATAGAGATGTAGCTATGGACACAGCAGCTGGCAAATAGTCAATAAGTAGTCATCATTGTTTAAAGGCTCTGAGAAGATCTGCAACTGGGGAACCTGTTGAACTAGACTCTCTTGTTGGCTACAGAAAATTTTTTTTTTTTTTTTAGACAGAGACTCACTCTGTCGCGCAGGCTGGAGTGCAATGGCATCATCTCAGTTCACTGCAACCTCCGCCTCTCAGGTTCAAGAGCTTCTTCTGCCTCAGCCTCCCAAGTAGCTGGGATGACAGGCATGCGCCACCACACCCAGCTAATTTTTGTATTTTTAGTAGAGACAGAGTTTCACCATGTTGGGCAGGCTGGTTTCGAACTCCTGACCTCAAATGATTCGCCCACTTCTGCCTCCCAAAGTGCTGGGATTACAGGCGTGAGCCACCACGCCCAGCCTATAGAACCATTTTGTTGCAGGATATTGTGTGCTGTACCATATATATTGGGGAAATATTACTTCAGTTACTGGGGGTGTGGGTGGAGCAGACATTATTCATTGCCTACCCCAAGTCCATTTGCTGTCTTTTTTCTTGCTAATAGAACTCTGGTTATGTTCAGGATTAGGCCAAAGAACCTTGGATGTCAAAGCAGGTAGGTCAGACTTGGTCTAGATGTGGGCGCCTTACCTTGTTCTGGCCAGTGAGATGTATGAAAAGTCTCCTAGGGGCTTCCCCATGAAGATATTGTCCTCCATAAGAAGTAAAGAAACATTTGCACCTGACCCCACCCCCACTGCCACCACCCCCGCCCCAGCTTCTGCTTTGAACGTAGTGTCGTGAGGACAGGACACTTGGCTCTGCTGCCACCATCTTGGGACCACAAGAGGGAACCCCCACAGAGTCACAGAGACAACTCTGGGGTCCCCAATCATGTCCAGCTACTGAACAACCGTGGAACTGTCTGTTCTCCAACTTCTTGAGAGAAAACGAACCCCCCGTTTGTTTAAGCTGCTGCTAATGGATTTCCATCACCTGCATCCCAGAACATTCCTCACTGATCCAGGGTCCCAGTTCTCTGTTCCGAATTAAAATCATCCTGGTTTTCTCCATTTGTCTAAATATTCTCTGGTTCACCTTGAGGACAGTGTCTGGGCATTGCACCAGGCAGCCCATACCCCTCCCTGGGGCCTGTTCCCTTTGTAAAACCATGACTCACCTCCGAGGCCCTTGCTGGCCACACACCTTCATTCCAGAGAGGATTCCATGAGCCATCCCTCTTTGTCTTTCTTCTCTCTCATCTATTTTTGTCCTTTGTGAAATGCCCTGGCCCCCTGTGAGGATACAGAGGTATTAGCACACCCTCCCCCTTAATCCCTTGGGCTCCTGTTCCCTTGTCCAAAGTCACCCAAGAGAACAGGGCCAGCCTAACTTTTTCTGGCTGGCTTTTCCTGGGGGAAATGAAACTGTTTCACTGTATGTCCCAACCCCAAAAGTCTCTCCTATTCTCTTCACCATGCATGGCCCTAGAACTTTCTTTCTGTCTCAGAGGACACCTACGAAGGAGGAATAGCAAATACATAGCATGTGGCAATGGCATACATGTCACCCTTCCTTCACTCAGTCCATGGCAGACATTGCTAATCAATCACAGCACTCTTTCTTACTGAGTGGAGTTGGCAGGGAAGATGAGCTGAAGCCCTGACCTCTGTGACATGGTTGGAGACAGGGGATAAAGAGTAAAGTTCACACTCACCTCAAAAAAATTCTCCTGAGGCCTGACACCCCCATTCTCTCTTAGCCAGAGGGGACCTAGCTGGCCCAGAGAGGCTTGGGCAAGCAAGGTGGGTGTGCAAGGATCAATGCCTTCAGCCCTGGAGACACAGCACAGAGAGTTGTTCAGGCCCTTCTGGCATGTGTCCTGGACTTACTCCAGGATCGTCTTTGGTCTCAGTTGAATTCAGTCCCACGGAACAAATCTATCATGATCACCTACTATGTGCCAGGACCGAGGGCACCGCAGAGATGCATGAATCCTGGCCCCTGGCCCAGAAGATTCTAGTGGAAGAAACAGACTAACAAACAATGAAGCAGAATGCAGAAAGTGCCACAAGAGAGCAGTCATTCGACAAGGGCTGACGCAGTGCCCGCTATGTGCCAGTGCCGTACTGGGTGCGGGAGAAGCAGCGGTGGGCAAGATAGACATGGTGCCTGTCCCGTAGAGTTATGGTCTGAGCAGAAAGTTGGGTGTTCATCAGCTAATCAGACAAAAAAAAGTAGAATGCAGCTGTGGTTCAACACTGGGAGGGAGAAAGGAACGCAGTGCTGGGAGGGCCTAGTCTGGAAGTTCGGGGAGAACAGTTTTGCCCCAACTCCCAGGGGCCACATGGCAATGTCTGGAGACATCTTTGGTTGTCATGACTGGGTGGCATCTGGTGGGTAGAGGCCAGGGATGCTGTTCAACATCTTCCAAGACACAGGACAGCCCCACAGCAAAGAATGACCTGGCCCCGATGTCAGCAGTGCCAAAGGTGAGAGATCTCCATCCAGACAAAGAGGGGATGGCGGGGCAGGGCGGGGGGTCCAGGCAGATGGAAAGGTCTGCATCCTAGGAGAATGGGCAGCCATTTAAACATGCGGGTGTTTGGGTGTGGTGGTTCACGCCTGTAATCCCAGCACTTTGGGAGGCCAAGGCAGGTGGATCACCTGAGGTCAGGAGTTCGAGACCAGCCTGGCCAACATGGTGAAATCCCGTCTCTAATAAAAATACAAAAATTAGCCGGGCGAGGTGGTGGGCACCTATAATCCCAGCTACTCAGGAGGCTGAGGCAGCAGAATCGCTTGAACCTGGGAGGCAGGAGTTGCAGTGAGCCAAGTTGGTTCCACTACACTCCAGCCTGGGCTACAGAGCAAGACTCCATCCAAAAAAAAAAAAAATTTGGGTGGTGATGACCGAGCTGGGTGTTGTTGTTGTTTTTCTTTAATGTCCCTCGGGCTGCCGGGTGGCAAAGGCGGAAGCAGAGACCAGGAGAGCGGGTGTGCGGGTGTGGCCTTGGGTGGCTGTGTGCTCACCACAGGCCTGGAGACTAGACATGAACTCTAGGGAGGAGTTCTGAATTATGATGACCGCTTGGGGCTGCACATTCTACACACTGAATTAAGACTGTATTTGGGGCAGGGTGTGGTGGCTCACGCCTGTAATCCCAGCACTTTGGGAGGCTGAGGCGGGTGGATCACTTGAGCCCAGAAGAGCTCAGGAGACCATCCTGGGCAACATAGCAAGACCCCATCTCAAAAAAAAAAAATACAAAAATTAGCTGAGTGTTGTGGTGCACACCTGTAGTCCCAGCTACTTGGAAGGCTTAGGTGGAAGATTGCTTGAGCCCAGGAGGCAGAGGTTACAGTGAGCTGAGGCTCCAGCCTGGATGACAGAGCAAGACCTTGTCTCAAAAAAGAAAAAAAAAAGACTATTTGGGACTCAGTGATCTTAGGGTTGTCCTTTTCCCCAACAGTGAGAGGAAAAATCCTGACTTTTCATCTGAGAACACGCACAGATTAGCCCCCCGGGAACAGAATTTATGAAGAACGAAGGGTTTTGCTCAAAATTATCTCGAGCCAGCCTCACAGCGCCGCCATGAGGTCAGTGTTCTGAACCAACACATTTTGCAGATAAAAAAATGGAAATGGAGATGGAACCGGAAAAAGCCACTGGACCTGTTTCATCCGGTCAGCAAGCAGCAGAGGTGACATTCTAGCCCAGACCCAACTCCAATGTCCCTTCTTCCCCAAAGTCCCCAGCCAGGAGACCTCAGGAGGTCGGTGGACTCGGGCAGCCCTAAACCATCCTCAAACTCTACGAGCAGAAAACCTGTCTCTCCCTTCCTAGGAATTGCTCTGTATGTCGATGGTGCTGAAATTGGGATAATGTATGCCCCTCAGGGCAGTGAGCAATGTTGAGGACATTTTTGGATATCACAATTTGGGAGGGGGGTTTGCTAATGGCTGCTAGTGGGTGGAGACCAAGGATGCGGCTGATCATACCGTAATGCACGGGACACCCTCCACTGCCGTAACAAAGAATTATCCAGCCCCTCACATCCATAGAGCCCAGGATGAGAGTGCTGCTCCAGAATGGAAGCCCCGCAGACGCCTGCATCTGTGCTGGGGAGGAGCAAGGGCCTGGGCCTGCAGAGCTGGGTGTCCCCTGAAGACTCGTTGAAAGGTCCTTCACCCGACAACCTCAGGTCGGATGACTAATGAGCCAGGAGTGTGGCCTTTATATAGCTCTGGGCCCAGGCATGCGGGACCAGGTTCGGCTGTCACTGTGCCACGTTCTTCAGCAAGGGGGCTCTGGCAGGCGGGCAGGGGGAGCGCAGGGGGAAGCTGGCGGGGGAGCCTGGGGCAGCAGCTGTTGCTGGAATCTGGGACTCGTAGAGAGGAACAATACCCCCGGAATGCCAGGCACCGAGACAGCTGAGCCCGCGGGCATCTGAAGGGCACCAGTAAAAATGGGCTTGTCTGAGTGCCGCTGTCCCCAGTGCAGGCAAGATAGATGACCGAGGGCTAAAAATACCAGGGACAAGAAAGCCACTGCAGGGCTATCTGGGTCGTTGAGGCTGGATCCGAGCTCTGGGATCCTGGAGGGTAGTGAGAGGTGGGGCCGGATCCCCCGGCTTTGAAACCAGAATACCATGGGGAGGAAAAGTGTGTACAGAGGAGTCCGACAATCTGAGTTCGAAGCCCAGCGCTACCAGATGCTAGCAGTAGGGCCTTGGGGAGTGACTACTCCTCCCTGAGCGTCAGTTTCCTCATCTGGAAAATGGGTCTAATATTAGTACCTTCCTCATAGTGTTGTGAGGATTATATCCGACGGTGAGTAAAGCATATGGCTCAGTGCGTGACATGCAAGGAGCTCTAGGGAAGGGGGATGATGGCGATTTGATTTCTTTTGGGACTTCAGTTTGGCAAGCTATGCAGTGGCTGGGTGGTGGCCATGGCGGGCAGGCCTGCCTCCCCCAGTCCACTGGAGCACTCAATACATGATAGCTTCTACTCCGCCAGCTCAGAGCAGCTGTCCCTAAGAGCACTGAATAACGGGCTGGAGGGTGAGGTGGGGGCCGGAGTAGGAAATGAGGCTGGGAAGACAACCAGTAATAACCACACACACTCATACACACACCCACTCACACACTCACACTCTCACATACACACTCTCTCACACATTCACTCACACACACACTCTCACAATCACACACACGCTTATACACACTCACACACACTCACACATTTTAACACACTCACATATACACACTCACACACTCACATACACAGACACGTGGCACACATACACACACGTCACACACATACACTTACACACACATACACTCACACACTCACACAGTCACATACACACCTGTCACACACACTCACAAACACACAGTCACAGTCACACACACTCATACACACACTCACGCAGTCACACACACTCATACACTCACACACATACACTCTCTCACGCAGTCACACACACTCATACACTCACACACATACACTCTCTCACGCACAGTGCCTGTACTCTCCATGCCTGGCGCTGTGCAAAGCCATTTACACTCATTGCATGAGTAACCATGTGGATGGTGCTTGGAACAGAATAAACACACAATAAATGTTAGCTGCTATCGTTAGTATCACAATTATCTAGTTTCACTTGAACGACACTCTTCCAAAGCTAGCATGATAGTTTTCTCCATTTATCAAGTGAAGACTCTGAGGTTTAGGGTGGTTAAGTCACCTGTCCAGGGGCCCCACAGTCAAGGAAGTGGAGGAGCTGACCTGGAACCCAGCTTACAATCATAACACCATTCTGGTAGGACAGGGTCAAGTGATAAAAGATCTTAGCTGTCAGGCTAAGGAGGGGAGATTTCCTCCTGAGGTAGTGGGGAACCACTGAGGGTTCTAGAGCATGTACAAGTCATCATCAGAATGGGGTATGGGGGAAAGGAGTTGGACTCAGAGTGTGTGAAGGGCAAGATATAAAGACAAGAGAGAGGAGGCCCAAAACCAGTTGGGGCCTACTACCTTAGGCCACAGCTGGGGCTGGACTTGAGGAAATGGATTTGCAAGACATTTTAGAGGAAGAATAGATAGATTTTGTCACTAGTAGGGCAGAATCAAAATGGCTGAGGATTTTGGTCTGGGAACCTAAGAGAGAGGTGAAGTCATTAACAGGAAAAGGATTTGGGAGAGGAAGAGGAGAGAAAATGAATTCATATTGGAACATGTTATTTCTTTTCTTTTCATTGGAACATGTTATTTCTTTTCTTTTCTTTTCTTTTTTGAGACGGACTCTCGCTCTGTCGCCAGGCTGGAGTGCGGTGGTGCAATCTCAGCTCACTGCAACCTCCGCCTCCCAAGTTCAAGTGATTCTCCTGCCTCAGCCTCCCGAGTAGCTGGGACTACAGGTGCGCACCACCATGCCCAGCTAATTTTTGTATTTTTAGCAGAGATGGGATTTCACCATGTTGGCTAGGATGGTCTCGATCTCTTGACCTCATGATCTGCCCGCCTTGGCCTCCCAAAGTGCTGGGATTACAGGCGTGAGCCACCACGCCCAGCTGGAACACGTTATTTCTTTTACCTCCATTTCCACTGACATGGGTGCCTAGCCAGTTCTCTGGAATAAGAGCTGGCATTCACTGAACATCACCATGCCCAGCAGTATTCTAGAACTTTAGAAGCAGTAATTAACTCATTTAAACCTCATGATAACTTTTTGAAGGACCTCTATTACATGTTCCCATTTCACATATGAGGAAACTGAGGCACGGGGAGCTGATGCTGCTTGTCCCAGTGGTGCTGTGTACACAGGGGGTGCCCCGTTATGTGGCTCACCCATCTTTGCTGGGCACAGGCCTGGTCCACCTGAATCTGACTCCCAAGAGAAGCCACCCTCCCCACTTGGTGGCTCTCACTGACGCCTGGGGGCCCTGACACGAGGAGATAGGCTATCACTTGGTGACAAAAGCCATCAGCCACCCGGCTTTGGGCTGGCAGGGCCTGGTATGCCTTTGTTCTATCAAGAGGTGGCTGACTTCACCGCCCTCTTTAAAGGGGCCTTACACCCCAAGGCAAGTTAACCCGCTGTGCTACTTGCTTCCATTGGAGATCATGGTGGGCACTTATGTGACACTTTCCTGTGCCAGGCTCTGTCCTAAATATTAATACATTACTAGATTAACTCTGTAAGCTACTGATATTAGCATGCATACTTATGTGATCCGCTGAAGAGTTTTATAAGACAAACATGTAGAGAAGCCTTTCCCTTTCTCCCTTACAATATGGGATGTAATGGCTTAAGACTTGAATTCCAGGAGCTAAAGTGCAAAAAGCCCCTGCAGAAGAAACGAATTAAAATATGCCTCCAGCAGGGCTGGATTGAAATCTTTAAAAGCCCCAAAGACTGAAAAGATGCTGGCTGTCACCACCTGACAGCAAACGAAAGATAAAAACAGTACTTAATAGTCCAGCTAGCGTGAGAACATCCTGGCATGTTCGGAGTTTTTCCCCATGGTGGCTATTTTGACTTAAAAACAAACAAACATTAATTGGCCGGGCACGGTGGCTGACGCCTGTAATCCCAACACTTTGGGAGGCTGAGGCAGGTGGATCACCTGATGTCAGGAGTTCAAGACCAGCCTGGCCAACATGGTGAAACCCCATCTCTACTGAAAGTACACAAATTAGCCAGGCGTGGTGGCACACGTCTGTAATCAGAGCTACTCAGGAGGCTGAGGCACGAGAATCACTTGAACCTGGGAGGCGGAGGTTGCAGTGAGCCGAGATCACACCACTGCACTCCAGCCTGGGCGACAGAGCAAGACTCTGTATCAAAAAAAAATAAAAAGTATATATATATCTCCTTTCCCCCAAAAAAAGTTTGTTGGGTTTTTGTTGTCATTGGCACCTCTGGTGCTTTGGGCGTGTATTAAATGTGCCAGCTGCACGGCCTGGCTCAGCTTGAGGGAAGACCACGCCAGCCTCCATCAGTGAGGTAGGGACTGCAAAGGAGGTCTCCAAGGCCACCATAGAGTGGGAAAATTCAGGTGGCTGGGGCGGGTATGTGCATGTGTATGAGTTATGATACCATTAACGTGAAAATGTGTATCTCTGTTTGCATGGTATGACATCATTATTGTGAAAAAAAGTAATATTTGTGTGTGTGTGTGTCTGTGTGTGTCTCTGTGTGTGTGTGTCAGACAGAAAGAGAGAGACAGAGAGTTGGGAAGGCTAAATGCAATGTGATATCCTGGATTAGATCTTGGAACAGCAAAACGACCATAGTGGAAAGGCTGGTGAAATCCAAATCAAGCCAGGAAGTTTGGTCAATAGTAATGCATCAATATCAGTTTCTTTGTTGTAACCGATGTATTAGGGTCATGTAACCTGTGTTAACATCAGGGAAACTGGGCCAGGGGAAAGGAGAACTCTGCCACTTTTAAAATAAATTCTTAAATACAATTTTTATTTTTAAAATGTCTGGAAGGAATCTGCTGAAGTTCTGGAATGGCAAAACTAATCTACGGGGCTAGAGGCCAAGAGGTGCTGACTTTCAGGAGGGTTGGCTGGGAAGGGACACTAGGAAAAGCTCTGGGGCTGAAATGTTCTGCGTCCTGCCTCGGGTGGTGGTTACACAGTGTGCACCTGTGTAGAAACTCATCTCACTGGACACTTAGGACACATGCACTTTGCCATCTCAATTTTAAAAGCAAAGAATAAAAAGTAGCATCTGAAAGGCTTCACACGAAACTGCAAACCCTGTTCCTTTTGGAGAGGATTTGGTTGTCATGATAGAAAGGGGACATTTTAGTCGATATCTTCCATAACACATTCAACTGTTTTATAGTAAAAATGTGCTTGCTCACATTATATTAATTTAATTTTTTATGGGTGTGTAGCATGCACAGAGACAAGTGCACAGATCATAAATGTGCAGCCCGTGACACACCCGGATCAGGATCCACAACATTCCCAGTTCTTCCAAGAGGTAATTCCAACTTATCTTAAATTCTGCTGTCACTGGATGTTCTGCAATTTTTTTTTTTTTTGGCTAAACTTGGCAATCCCACTCCTAATGTTCCCTCCTTGTCACTACCCTCCTCTATCCTGACTTCTCACAGTTCAGATTCATTTTTTGCCTGTTTATTCATTTATCTTTTTTTTTTTTTTTGAGACAGGATCTATCTAGCTCCATCACCCAGGCTGGAATGCAATGGAGTGAACACAGCTGACTGCATGACTGCAGCCTCAACCTCCCTGGCTCAAGTGATTCTCCCACTTCAGCCTCTCAAGTAGCTGGGAATACAGGTGTGCACCACCACACCCAGATAATCTTTGTATTTTTTGTAGAGACAGGGTTTCACCATGTTGCCCAGCCTGGTCTCCAACTCCTGGGCTCAAGTGATCCACCTGCCTCAGCCTCCCACAGTGTTGGAATTACAGGTGTGAGCCACTGTGATCAAATGTGTCTTAATGCACACTCTGATTTAATCCGCACAACAGCCCTAGGAGATGAATACTGTTATTATCCCATTTTACAGAGGAGGAAACTGAGACTCAGAGAGGAGAAGAAGCCTATCTAAAGTCACATTGCTGACCTGGATGCAAACCCTAGCTAGTCCGATTACAAAGCCCTGAGCTACCACGTCAGGCCAATCAAAACAAAATGTTCCCCCAGTCCTCAATCTGGCAGATGATCAATACCTTGTCAGGCTTGGGGTCTGTGAGTCGGAGCCCTCTGTTCTCTGTTTCCTTGCTGGCAGTGTTGCCAAGAAGTACGACACCAGCCTGACTTTTCCACTAGAGTTATGTTCTTTCTGCCCAGAAGTAGGCCAGATATTCTCTTAATCCTTGGAGTTTGTTAATGTTGCTGGGATGCACCTTGGTGTGTGCTTTTCCTTATCCTTCCAGCTTGGAGTTCGGGAGTTCTTTCAACCTGCAGATTCTGTTCTCTTCTGTGCTGAAGAACATTTTCCTGTATTACTTGCTTACTTTTGGCTTCTGTTTCTGGAATGATTTTATTTGCATTTCTTTGTTATTTTGCTTCATGATATTCCCAAGATATCATCTTCTAGGCCACTATTTAAATTGCAACAAAACTAACCTTTCCTGAAATTCATTCACTTAATTTTTAGTTTAAAAATCAGGTCTTAAAGCTCTAGGAAGTCATTTTTGGGTTTCACTTGAATTTCTCTAAGGTTTTTTTTTGGTTTGTTTTTATTTTTATTCTTTGGAGCAAACCAGTACTTGGGCTTTAAAAAATAATGAAATTAATACAGTGCTCTATTTTCTAAAATGAGGACTGTTGTACCATAATACAGTTGAACATAAATTTCCACTTTTCTTGAATTTAAGCTTAATATGTATATCTCTCCCCTTACTCTGCATGAAGCTTTACTGATGTACATCACACCCTGTACATAGTGGGGCTCAAATAAATATCTATATGCAAATTCATGTCCTTCGATTTGGGGCTAAAATCATTCTTACTTAAAAGCAGTGTGTACCTATAAAGAATACTTACATATTTTCCCTCTCTTCATCTCTTCTTTTAAAATTGTCAACGGGGCCAGTCACAGTGGCTTACGCCTATAATCTCAGCACTTTGGGAGGCTGAGGCAGACGGATCACTTGAGCTCACCAGCTCAAGACTAGCCTGGCCAACATAGTGAAACCCCATCTCTTCCAGAAAAATACAAAAATTAGCCAGGCATGGTGGCGGGTGCCTATAATCCCAGGTACTCGGGAGGCTGAGGCAGGAGAATCGCTTGAACCCAGAAGGCAGAGGTTGCAGTGAGCCGAGATTGTGCCACTGCACTCCAGCCTAGGTGACAGAGTGAGACCCTGTCCCCCACGCCCCCCCCCCCAAAAAAAAAGGATGGAAGCGGAGGAGTCAGAGAGGTTGGATTCAGAGGTTGGAGTGATGTGGACCACGAACCAAGGAATGTGGGGACCTCGTGGTCCACAAGGAGTGTCGGTGCCTCATTCCCTGCTTCGTGGTCCTCATCACTCCAACCTCTGAATCCTCCGAGGTAGAAAAGGCAAAAATCGGGTTCTCCCCAGGAGGCTTCAGAAGGAACACAGTCCTATTTGTGACTACAAGATAATAAATACGTTGCCAGGTGTGGTGGCTTGAGCCTGTAATCCCAGCATCTTGGCAGGCTGAGGCAGGAGGATGGCTTGAGCTCAGGAGTTCAAGACCAGCCTGGGCAACATAATGTGACCCCGTCTCTACTAAAAAAATTGTTTTAATTAGCCGAGCGTGATGGTGCGTGACTATAGTCCCAGCTACTTGGGAGGCCAAAAGAGGAGGATCACTTGAGCCTAGGAGTTCGAAGCTGCAGTGAGCTATGATTGTGTCATTGCACTCCAGTCTGGGCAACAGGGTGAGACCCTGTCTCAAAAGAAAAAGAAGTGCTGTTTTAAGCCACCACATCGGTAATATTTTTATAGCAGCAATAAGAAACAAATACACTTGGGTTTCTGATATTCTAGAAGTTGCTATTCTGATGGATCGGCCCACTGTGCTTCTCTCTGGCTTCTGACAGCCTCAAGTGAGCAGTTATTTTTCTCTTCTATTCAGTGGGACTCAGGTCTAGCTGCTGGAAACTTATTAGCTGTAGGAATCCCACAGGTAGCAAAAAGGCAGGGGTCTCAGGTCCTGTGGGCATGTGCTTCTCAGCAAGAGGCCTCCGCCACCCAGCCTTGAGGGCAGGGCACAACAGCCCCAGCCGCCCACTCGCTCCCTCCCCAGCCCCCGCAGTCTTGAGGCTGATGCTGAAAGGAACCCCTGAAGTCTACAAAGAACCAAGTCCTCCCTGGATTCTCCAATCCCAGGGCCTTGTCCCTGGTCTTGGGGGCTCCCTGGGGCAACACAACCCATTGATGAGAGAGACTTTGGATCTCTGGCTCTCTCAACAGACCCCAAGGCCTAGTCCACACCCCACGTGCTCCACGTCCCAGCAGCCACGTGGTTCCATGCCCCATTCAGGCCGCCATTTCCCAGAATCCCTAGACACAATCTCACTTAATCCTCCCAGCAGCCTTATGGAGGTGTGTGATCTCCCTTTTCCAGGTGAGGAAACAGGCCCGAGAGGGTGAGTGCCCTATTTGACAACCCCTCTTGCTATCCAGCCAGAATGGTTCCTCTAGTACCCCTTCTGGAGGCCTGGCTGTACAGGTGTCCCTCAGGGACACACACCCCCACTCGACTCTGGGGGCCCAGCCCATCCTAATCCCCACCCCGGGGCTTCCCACCCCCCATCATACACTCTCCACATCTTCTGTGGCTGCAACAACCTTTTCACTTGGCCAGTTGGAGCTACTGACTGCTCACACAGGGTTTTAACGAAAATCTATGGTGTGCCTATTAGCTAGGGAAACATTTATTCTGGTGTTGTCAGAGAACCTTGGACAGAAAAGCTCCTCTTGATGTGTGCACTGCACATATGTGGATGCGTGTACATGCACGTGTCTGTGTGCCTCTATGCATGTGCAGACGTGTTTTTGTCTGTGCATGCATGTGCCTACACACACACATGAACACATCTTTTGTTATTAAAGATCTGTCAGAAGAGTGTCCTGGGTAACTCTAACCCATGTGGGACTGCAGAGAAGAAAAAAACCCACACCTTTTTTTGTCACAGCCATCAATGGTCCTTGGGTTTGTGTGCCCCCAAATTGAGATTATTTTTCCACCTGAGAAGGGGAGTGAGTGATAGCTACCATTTGCCAGGTCTCACCTCCTTTTACCCTCTGGAAAACCTAATAAGAAAAGTGATTTCTTTTTTTAAGCTCTGGAAAACTCCAGCCCCAGGGGGCCTTCTGTTCCTCAAAGCCTCCAAATTCTCCCTGCCTTGAGGTATGTGCTGTCCCCACTGCCTGGAGCCCCCTTTGCAGACTCTGCTTGGAGGAGCCCACCTGCGCCCCTGTCTGAGGCTGTCACCTGGCCACTGCCATGCCTCTGTCTCATCCCTGCATGAGATCCGTCACTGCCTGCAACTGTCTGGGTTGTGCATTTGTTTACTTTCTCCTTGTCCATCTTCCCCTCGCACTTACGCACCTCAAGGGAAGGGAATTTGTTGCTTTGCGCTGGGCTCGATGAAGGGGAATGAATGCTGGTTCAGCCATCAGCCCCGCACCCACACTACTGGGAGGGCAGAGGGACATTCTCCTTCTTAGAGGTGTGGCCTCTGGCACTCAGGCCTGCCACCCACGGACACTAAATAACCACAATGATTCCAAGCCCCGAGTTCTTGCTCCCTGAATCCCAAGGCTGTCTTTAAGGGCACAGGAAGATGGCCATCTTTTGTTGTTTTGGTTTAGTTTGGGGTTTTTTTGGTCTTTGTTTTTGAGATGGAGTCTTGCTCTGTCGCCCAGGCTGGAGTGCAATGGCACGATCTCGGCTCACTGCAACCTCCGCCTCCTGGGTTCAAGCAATCCTCCTGCCTTAGCCTCCCAAGTAGCTGGGAGTACAGGCATGTGCCACAACGCCCAGCTAATTTTTGTATTTTTAGTAGAGATGGGGTTCTGTCATGTTGGCCAGACTGGTCTTGAACTCCTGACCTCAGGTGATCTACCCGCCTCGGCCTCCCAAAGTGCTAGGTGTGAGCCAACATGCCCGTCCTTTTTTTTTTTTTTTTTTTTTTTGAGTCAGAGTCTCACTCTGTCGCCCAGGCTGGAGTGCAATGGCGCTATCTCGGCTCACTGCAACCTCTGCCTCTCGGCCTCAAGCGATTCTCCTGCCTCAGTCTCCTGAGTAGCTGGGACTACAGGCCCGCGCCACAACGCCTGGCTAATTTTTGTATTTTTAGTAGCGACAAGTTTCATCATGTTGGCCAAGGTCGTCTTGAACTCCTGACTCAAGTGATCCACCCGCCTCAGCCTCTCAAAGTGCTGGCATTTCAGGTATAAGCCACTGCACCCAGCAGGAAAGCTGTCTTCAGTAAAAGTATTATATAATGACACCTTGCATTCTGAGAGCAGCTGCTGTTTTCAAGGCTCTTAAAGAGCCTGGACTCTGGAGACAAAGGGGCCTCCAGAGGGGTCCACGCCTAGCTCCATCACTGTGTGACCCTGGGCAGCTCACTTCGCCTCTCTGAGCTTTTGTTTCCGCATCTGTAAAATGGGGGCATGGATGATGAGGTGGTCCCCACCCTCTAGGGTGGCTGGAAAATTATGTGTGGGAGCCATGAGCACATAGTGTCCGGCACGTGCCAGTGCTCAGTCAATGAGATTTGTCATTTCTTCAGTCAACAAATATTTATTTTTGAGCTGCTGCTGTGTGCATCATGAGCTGGGAGCTGGGGAGACAGTCAGTGGTGAGGGAAACTAAAGTGATCCCTGCCCTCTGAGCTGACGCTCCACAGATGCTGAAGAAAATGAGTCAGTGCACTGTGGGCAGTGTTCGGGACTGCCTCACGCTGTGCAGAGAAACAAAGAAGGGAGATCGGAGCGCAGGAGGTGCGTGGCTGTGTTATTTGTTTGTTTTGAGACAGGGTCTTGCTCTGTCACCCAGGCTGGAGTGCAGTGGTGTGATCGTGGCTCACCACAGCCTCAACCTCCCGGGCCCAAGTGATCCTCCTGTCCCAGCCTCCTGAATAGCTGAGACTATAGGCATGCACCACCACGCACAGCTATTTTTTTTTCTTTTGCGTAGAGACAGGCATCTCCCTATGTCACCCAGGCTGGTCGCAAACTCCTAGGCTCAAGCAATCTTCCCGCCTCGGCCTCCCGCCGTGCTGGGATTTCAGGCATGAGCCACAGTGCCAGCCTTCATGGTTATTTTAAAGATGGTGGTCGGGGAGGCTTCACTCAGGAGATGACATATGAGCAAAGATGCAGTGAAGGAGGTGAAGGAAGGAGCCGTGCGATGACTGACAGAAAGACATTCCAGGTAGAGGGCACACAGGTGCAAAGACCCTGAGGCCAGATCCAGGCTGATAAAACAGAGCATTTTAGCAGTCTCCTCTCCCTGCCATTTTTTTTCTCAAAATTGACAAGCACAAGTGTCCCCGGCCCAAGCACCGCAGAGAGCGCGCAGCATCTCTCCCCGTGACCATGACCCAGCTACTGCCTCTTTAACCTTGAATGCCTTTTTGGGGGCTCACGTGTCACCCAGTGGCGAGTGAGCCACCCTTACTTCAGAAGAACGGCATGGGGTGGGGGGGCCTTAGGTGGTGCCCGCCTCACCTATGACTGCCAAAAGCGGTCATGGGGTTATTTTTAAACATGGGGAGGAAGTATTTATTGTTCCTGGGCTGCAGAGAGCTGGGCGGAGTGTGGAATTCTTCTCGGGAGGCAGTGCTGGGTCCTTTCCACCATGGTGAGTACAAGGGCTCCAGGAGGTGATGATGCCGGGTGGGCGAGGAGAGGAAGCCACTACAAGCGAGGGACCACGGCGGAGGGGGAGGAAGGCGGCCCTCAAAGCCTCCAGCCCCTTGTGGAAAAAGCCCCATTGACTGCGCGGGCACAGAGGAACCCCAATCAATGCCCCGATAGGCCACAAATAACAGCAGCTCTCGGGGACTCACAAACACAAAATAAGAGAGTTGGCTTTTTTATGGCTTGTCTACTGACCTCTCGAGGAATCAATAACTCCCAGGACTTGCAAAATGGGATTGAATGCTTTTAAGGATCAAATTGTAATTCTTTTCTCTTGTTCAGGCAGCTGGGAAAAAGAATGTTTTTGTTTTCACCTTTTGAACTTGCAAATTTAAAACCTTTCTTTCTGTGCTGTTGGGTTAGGTGTCCCCCTCCTGAAGTGGGCAGTCCCCAAATCAGGGTCAGCACAGGAGGGAGAGTGGTTAGAGGCAGGAACTCTGGAGTCAGAATGCCCAAGTTCAACTCCCCAAGTTCAACGCCCAAGTTCAACTCCGGCTCTGCCTTCTGTGTGTGTGGCTGTGTGATCTTGGGCAAGTGACCCAACCTCTCTGAGCCTCAGTTGCCTCTCCTGTAAAATGGGGATGATAATAATAGTATCCACTTGACAGAGTGGTTATGAGAATTAAATAATACATATGTAGAGTACCGAATCATTTGCTGTTATTGAAAGTCAGAGAGAAGTGGGGTGGGGAAGAAAGGTCAACTCGCTCTTCTCTGCCCTATTGATGTGGTGCAAGGACGGAGCATTCAGAGAGGAGGTTTTGCTGCCATTTGGAGCAAGGGAAAATTGTGGGGTGTGGGGCGCAGTTGGGTTTTAACACCTTGAAGAACTGTCATTTCATCTTGGCATTCATCATGGCTTAGTGAGCCTGACTTTTTCTTTCCCTCCAATCAATTCTCCTTCTGTGCATTACTGAGCTTTTTGTGAAATGCATCAGAACAAAAGTGGCTGGATCCTGCAGGGGCGATCTGAAGGTGTGGCCTCCATCCCCAGGGACACACCTGTGGCTTCTCCTAGTTGGTGAAGGAGCCACTGCAAGATGCACAAACGCTTATGATCCACTGGTACCAGAGGGCTCTGGAGAAACTTCATGTCATGTCCTTTGCTCCCTCCAGCATCACCGTTTGGAGACCTGAGTGTGGATGCTGTACCCACATTTCACAGATGGGCAGCTGAGCCCTGCAACAGAGATGAACACACCCAGAGTAGGGGCCTGACCTAGTTTTTTGACTCCCAGCCTCTCACTCTTTTAATCGATGCTTTTTTCCCCCAGGCACCTAAGAAAGCAAAGAAGAGAGCCGGGGGCGCCAACTCCAACGTGTTCTCCATGTTCGAACAGACCCAAATCCAGGAATTTAAGGAGGTGGGTGCAGCTATTGAATCATCCGCCTGGATGGAAATCCCACCCACGAGGGAGAACCTTCTTTTTGTTCCATATTCCCAGCAGGGACCTTTCATTAGATGCCTCTATCCTCCAAACAATCCCAAATTCGGCCTGAACGGATGTGTGAATTTTTAAAAGAAACTATTTTTAATATTTTCACTGATTATCAAAGTAAAACATATTCCATGTTGAAAAATGTTGGAAAATTTTTCAGAAAAGCACAGAAAAGGAAATAAAAACTACCTACAATTCTATTACCCAGAGATAATCAGTTCACATTTTAGTATATACCCTTCAAACCATTTTTGTTATCTATGTATATATTTATTAAACAAAATTATAATCTTCTGTGCCCACTGATTACACCTGCATTTTTTTCGTTGAGAAATTCACCATTAACATTTCCTATCATGTATTTAAACCATTTCCTATGGTTAAATATGACATTTGTTTATAATGTTTTACTACTATAAATAACACCTCTTTGCTTGTATCTCTGGTTATTTCTTGGGGGTAAATTCCTAAAAGCAGAACTGCTGGGTCAAAGGAACTTAAAACAACAACAACAAAAGAACTAAAAACAGGCAGAACTGCTGGTCCGAATTGCCCCCCAAAATCACAGCACTAATTCCTATGCCCAGCAGCCTCGTGCCTTTCCCCACATTTCCATCAACGCTGGGTATTAATAGTCACAATTTTTTTTTGCCAGTCTGAGAGGTGAAAAGCAGTATCTTCTGGGTTTTACATTTTACAGTCTTTGATTATTAACCACTAGCCCCATTTGAAACCCCATCGCATTTGATGGCAATGGACCTTATGAAGAGAACCAAAGTACCAATTAGGCCAAACTGCACACGGGCTTGGATGGACAGGCTCAGAATTCATTTTCCAGCCGTTGCGAGGGCTCACACTGACTCATCCACATTCCCACCTGGCTTTCCAGAGGGAACTATGCTAAAATGATGCTAAAGAGACCAGACTGCTTTCTTTTTTTGTGCGTGTGACAGAGTCTCGCTCTGTCACCCAGGCTAGAGTGCAGTGGCACAACCACGGCTCCCTGCAGCATCAACCTCCCAGATTAATCAATCCTCCCACCTCAGCCTCCTGAGTAGCTGGGACCACAGGTACACACCACTGTGCCCAGCTAATTTTTGTGATTTTTGTAAAGATTGAGTCCCCCTGTGTTGCCCAGGCTGGTCTCAAACTCCTGGGCTCGAGCAATTCTCCTGCCTTGACCTCCCAAAGTGCTGGGATTACAGGCATGAGCCACTACACCCTGCCCTAGTGTGCTTTATATCAAAGGGGAAACCATTTGGGGCTTCCAAACAGGAAATGAACAGTCGTACCTTTTGTCCTCACTAACATTCAGATTGCAGGAATGCCGTGTCCCATAGGGAAAGAGAAATTCCTGAGGCAAGTGTCATATCTGAACTTGAGATAGTCACCTTCCAGGCAGAAAGCTACACCCGCCTCTTTTCCCAGCCTCTGGCATCAGCTGCCGGCGGTGTGGGTAAGGGATGCAAAGAACTCAAAACATGTAGCCAGGATTCCCCATTTGGTCTGTTTGTTTGTTTGTTTGTTTGTTTGTTTGTCTGAGTAAATGGGATTACAGGTACTCACCACCATGCCTGGCTAATTTTTTTGTATTTTTACTAGAGACAGGGTTTCACTGTGTTGGCCCGGCTGGTCTCAAACTCCTGGCCTCAAGTGATCCCTCCGCCTCGGCCTCCAAAGTGCTGGGATTACAGGCGTGAGCCACTGCACCTGGCCTAAAGCTATTATTTTTTAAAAAGCTAAAAACTGGTGTCTCATCTGGCCTCTCCACTCCCTAGCCTGCCCTATCTATAAAATGGGACCAGTAATCTATCTCAGCTGACAGTCAGGGAGATTCTCAGAACTTTATAAATGCCCAAGTGTTTTACAAATGAGGAATCACGGGCCAGGCACAGTGGCTCACACCTGCAATCACAGCACTTTGGGAGGCTAAGGTGGGCAGATCACTTGAGGTCAGGAGGTTGAGACCAGCCTGGCCAACGTGGTGAAACCCTGACTCTACTAAAGAAAAATAAGCTGGGCATTGGTGATGCGCGTCTATACTCCCAGCTACTCGGGAGGCTGAGGCAGGAGAATCGCTTGAACCCGGGAGGCGGAGGTTACAGTGAGCCGAGATTGCACCACTGCACTGCGGCCTGGGTGACATAGCAAGACTCTTTCTCAAAAATAAATAAATAAATAAATAAATAGCTTTATAGAGTTATAATTTGCATACCATAAAATTCACCCTTGAAGTGTGCAGTTTTGTGGTTTGCAGTATACTCACAAAGTTGTGCAACCATCACCACTATCTAATTTCAGAATATTTCCATCACCCCCGAAAGAAACCCCATACCCATTAGCAGTCACTTCCTGCTCCTCCCTCTCCCACCAGCCCCTGGCAACTGCTAATCCATTTTCTGTCTCCATGAATTTCCTGTTCTGGACATTTCATAGAAATTGAATCATACAATATGTGGTATTTGTGTCTGGCTTCTTTCACTGATGTTTTAAGGCTCATCCATGTTGTAACCTTTGTAGGAATTTCCCTCCTTTTTATGGCTGAATAATATTCCATTGTATGGACAGACCACATTTGGTTTATCCATTCATCAGTTGATGGACATGTAGGTTATTTTCAGTTTTGGGCTACTGTGAACGATGCTGCTATACACATTTGTGTTCAGGTTTTTTTGTTTTTGTTTTTGTTTTCCGAGATGGAGTCTTGCTCTGTCATCCAGGTTGGAATGCAGTGGCATGATCTCAGCTCACTGCAAGCTCTGCCTCCTGGGTTCAAGCAATTCTCCTACCTCGGCCTCCCAAGTAGCTAGGATTACAGGCATGCGCCACCACGCCTGGCTAATTTTTGTATTTTTAATAGAGACGGAGTTTCACCATGTTGGCCAGGCTGGTCTTGAATTCCTGACCTCAAGTAACCCACGGGCCTAGGCCTCCCAAAGTGCTGGGATTACAGGCGTGAGCCACTGTGCCCAGCCTTGTGTACAGGCTTTTATGTGGACATGTTTTCAATTCTCTTGGGTATATATCTAGCAGTGGAATGTCTGGGTCATATGATAACACGAGGCCTGACGTTTTGAAGAAACTGTTGGATTATCTTCAATTGTTGACTTTTAATCTGAGGTCCTACAATGATCTTTGAAGATCCCAGAATCCACTCCTGCCAAGTCCTTGGCCCAATCTCTTGGGCAACTCTGCCAGTTTCTCCCAGGCTGAGCTGCCAATCACTTCCCTTCCACAGGCCTTCACTATCATGGACCAGAACAGGGATGGCTTCATTGACAAGAACGATCTGAGAGACACCTTTGCTGCCCTTGGTATGTCACCCTCTCTAGCCCTGCATGAGGGTCTCTTTATCTCACATCCATGAGGAGCAGGAGGTGGGACCATCAGAAAAGCTCAAGATGGTGTCATTTCCCAAAGAAACAACTCTGCCACAACTGGTCTTTAAGACAAATTTCAGGGGATGGGAAAGAAGTGTTTAGTCTTTGAGTACCTTCAGATATCTTTTTTTTCTCTTGAAATAACTTTTTTGTGTGATTTTGAATGCAATGTCAGCTCACAACAGAAAATGGGGAAAAAATGCAGAAAAGTATAAAGGAGAAAATGACATCACCCAGAAGGTCATATTCCACTGTGAACATTCCAGTCCCTCCTCTAAGTCTTTCTAGACATGTCTGTTAGGTTTGGGTTTTAGTTTTTTAAATTATTGGAATCATTCTCTTTCGAATTTATCTTCTAAAATGTATCATCTCAACAGTGTGAGCATGAGTACATGGAGTTTCTTCAAAATATACATGCCCAATCTGCTACCCGCCACCACCACTTACTCCTGACCTTAGAACTCAGGGCAACCATACACAGCTGTGCAGACTGCGCACTGCACAATTCTACAGGGAAGTATTCACATTTGTAGTGAGTGTAGCTTTTTATACTTAAAACATACATTGGCTTAAAAAATGACAGATTTTTCTTATTTGCACAAAGTTAGGCTTGTGGCAGGACTAGAGCAGGTAAATCAGAACCTCCACGGCTGTGGGTTACAGCAGGTTTAACTTGTAAAAGTTCCCTCAGGTGATCCTGATCTGTCTCTCCCGCCTCCAACTGTGAAGGGCTAATTTACAACATGAGCCTTTCCCATTTGAGTGAAAAATGAAAATATCTGCATCAAATGTTCCAGGTTCTGAAGACACTATTTTAAATATAATGAACTGGCCGGCATGGTGGCTCACACCTGTAATCCCAGCACTTTGGGAGGCGTAGGCTGGAGGACCACTTGAACCCAGGACTTCGAGACCTGCCTGGGCAACATGGCAAAACCCTGTCTGTCCAAAAAACTACAAAAATTAGCCAGGCATGGTGGCATGCACCTGCAATCCCAGCTACTTGGGAGGCTGAGGCACGAGAATCGCTTGAACCTGGGAGGCGGAGGTTACAGTGAGTCGAGATTGTACCACTACACTCCAGCCTGGGTGACACAGCCAGACCCTGTCTCAAAGAAAAATAAATAAATAACGAACACCTTCCCACATCAGATGTTAGGGTCGCTTCCAGTCATTTGGTTATTATAAATAACACTGTCAAGAACATCTTCTCAGAAAAGATCTTTGCCTCCATCCACCCCATCTCTGATGATTTCTAGACTAGATTTCTTGAAGTGGAATCCCAGGAGCCAATGGCAGTGTCATAATGGTTCTTTCTCCCCAGCTCGGAGTCCCTGAGTGTGTGTTTCCTACCCTAGGGCGAGTGAACGTGAAAAATGAAGAAATTGATGAAATGATCAAGGAGGCTCCGGGTCCAATTAACTTTACTGTGTTCCTCACAATGTTTGGGGAGAAACTTAAGGGTAAGGTCGTGTGTGTGTGTGTGTGTCTGTGTGTATGTGTCTATGTTTCTTCGGGGGGGCTGGCAGAAGATGGTTAACTTTAAAAGAGATAAAGCACCATTGGAAAAAAATAATGAAAACAGCAACTTGGCTGGGCGCAGTGGCTGATGCCTGTAATCCCCAGCACTTTCAGAGGCCGAGGCGGGCAGATCACTTGAGGTCAGGAGTTCAAGACCAACCTGGCCAACATGGTGAAACCCCATCTGTACTAAAAACACACAAAAAAATTAGCCAGGCATGGTGGTGTGCACCTGTAGTCCCAGGTACTCAGGAGGCTGAGGCGGGAGAATCCCTTGAACCGGGATGTCAGAGGTTGCAGTGAGCTGACATTGTGCCACTGCACTCCGGCCTTGGTAACAAGGTGAGACTCTGTCTCAAAACAAAACAAAACAAAACAAAAACACAGCAACTAACATTGCTCCAAGACTTAACCTAAGTCAGACCTCATGCTAACCACTTTATATGCATTACCCCACTTAATAGCAACTAGGAGGTATGCTCTATTCTTATCACCAGTTTACAGATGGGGAACTGAGACTAAGAGACAGAAAGTCCCTTGTCTGAGGCCACATGGCTAGCAAGTGCCAGGGTTAAGATTTGAATCCCAGGCTTTCAAATCTAGATGATGTTTGACCTTGGGTTCTCAGCCCTCTCTTCGAAATACAGAGGCTCAGTGATCAGACGAAAGCAGGGTCTTTTTCCTCCATGCAAAGCAGCCTTGCTCTGGCCCCTTCATCTCTGGGGGAACTTGGGCCCTGCTGCCTGGGGTGCCAGTGGTTCCCAGCCACCCCCAGTACATGTAAGCCCTGTGTTCCGTTTCAGGAGCGGACCCTGAGGAAACCATTCTCAACGCATTCAAAGTGTTTGACCCTGAAGGCAAAGGGGTGCTGAAGGCTGATTAGTGAGTGGGGTCTGTGGGGGAGGAAGGGGGTTCCCTGCTTGCCCCCTGTCCCCCCTACACACACACAACTGACACCAACACCTGCTTTCCTTTCTCTGCAGCGTTCGGGAAATGCTGACCACGCAGGCGGAGAGGTTTTCCAAGGAGGAGGTAATGGGGTCCTTCAAGCACTCCCTCTAACCCAGCTCCTGGGTTCTCCTTCTGGGGGGCTCCGTCTCCCCTCTCGTCTAAAGCACCCCTGACCCCACACTGACAGAGAACCAGCTATCGTCTTCTGAGGCCTGGCCTCATTTCATTCTCTGCCACCCTATGAGGTAGGGACTGGCATAACTGCCATTTTACAGATAGGCAAACTGAGACCCAGGGAAGTAAAGTCACTCATCTAAAATAACAATAATCACACCTGTAATCCCAGCACTTTGGGAGGCCAAGGCAGGAGGATCACTTGAGACCAGGAGTTTGAGACCAGCCTAGCCAACATGAGGAAACCCTGTCTCTACTAAAAATACAAAAATTAGCTGGGCATGGTGGTGGACGCCTGTATTCCCAGCCACTCAGGAGGCTGACGCATGGCACGAGAATCGCTTGAACCCGGGAGGCAGAGGTTGCAATGAGCCAAGATCATGCCACTGCACTCCAGTCTGGGCAACAGAGCAAGACTCTGTCTCAAAAATAAAATAAAATAACAACACTAATAGTAAATGCCAGGACCTAGATTCAAACCTAGGTCTGCGTGACTGCAGGTTCTGCCTTGCTCACGATGCATAGAGACCTGCTTAGAGCATGACATTATTATGGCGTGAAGGGCCGCCACATACTGTCATGTGAGTTGTGCACTGAACAATTCTTCTAAATGTCAGTTTCATAAAAGTCATCAGACTGTGTATTTGTTGCAACAGCTTTCCAGAACTGGCAGTAAAGTGTCTGGTAATAATTTTTTTTTTTTTCAACTCAGGTGGTGCGGTAGTGAGTTTGGTAGAAGGGGCACTTTTGCTAATTTGCCAAAGCTTCTGTATGAGCAAGCAATGGTGCCGTCAACCTTATTAGTGAACCTTAATGAGTCGATTTTAAATGCTCCCCTCATAGCCTCACAGGCCTGTTTCCATCAAGTTCCACATTTTACTAAAAATTGTATGTAGATTTTCCCTCCCCCAAAATTCAAGCAGCTAAAAGGGCTGCCTTCACTTTCCACCTGCTGTGTGCTTTGAACAAGCTCCTTAACCTCACTGCACCTCAATTTCCTCATCTGTAAAGTGGGAATAATAATAGAAGCTACCTCATAGGAGATTGCGAGGATTCGACATGTTAATGTGGGGAAAGTGTGAACTTGTGGCAAGGGCAATATAAGTGCTAGCTATGAATAGCCAGTATGTTTTAAAAAAATAATAATAATAACTAGCCAATGCTTTTTAAATGGGGAAATTTTGTGTAAAAACAAAAATCTAGATTTCTGACACCCTGGACCCTGTGGTCACTTCATGTCACCTTTTTAGATGGCCACGTGTCTCCATTTAGCCATAGGACCTATCCTGCTCCCTTGCATAACCTGCCTGGCCCCTCGGAACCCTTGAGTTTGTGATCCCAGTGGAAGGCTGGGTTTCCAGGGACATCTCTGCATGATGTTTACTTGGGAGGGCCCTTGGGGTCAGGGAAGGAAGAACAGGGAAGGGCAAGAAAGGAAGAACAGGGAAGGGCAAGGAAGGAAAAGTGCATGAAGGAAGAAGTTGAGCCAAGATTTAGGCCCAAAGATCGGCACTGCTGACTACCCAGGGAGGGAGCTTATTCTACAGCTCTCCTGAGAGGTACCAAGTTGGGCGAGATGGCCGTGCCTTTATACCCCCACACCAATCCCATCCGCTGGCTGTGGGCTGCCCCAGAAAGGGCATGACCTTGGGCGAGGGGGCCCTGCAGCAGCTGGGGAAGTCCTTCCCCGGAGGACCCTCTGAGTGGCCCATGTTCCCATCCCCCACCCCCCAGCTATCCGTCCACTCAGGCCCCGCCCACAGCCCCCCACCCTCCGTCTCAGTTCCCCTCCCCTCGTCCTTAGCACGTGTTGCTGGCTCATTGCAGGTTGACCAGATGTTCGCCGCCTTCCCCCCTGACGTGACTGGCAACTTGGACTACAAGAACCTGGTGCACATCATCACCCACGGAGAAGAGAAGGACTAGGAGGGGGCTCGCTGCTGCGCCCTGGGCTCGTCTTTGCAGAGTGGTCCCTGCCCTCATCTCTCTCCCCCGAGTACCGCCTCTGTCCCTACCTTGTCTGTTAGCCATGTGGCTGCCCCATTTATCCACCTCCATCTTCTTTGCAGCCTGGGTGGCTATGGGTACTTCGTGGCCGCACATCCTACAGTTGGAAATCCATCCAGAGGCCATGTTCCAATAAACAGGAGGTCGTGTATTTGGTCACGACATTTCTCTGACAAACAGTGCCTTGTGTAAGGAAGGCAAAGGCAGATGAGCTAGTGACAGCCTTGCAGTCATTATTATTGAATCTTGGTGACTCTTTATTTAAGGTAGACCTTTGCAGCCACTCAGAACTGTTTCTATCAAGGATCACGTTTTCCTGGAATGTTACCTGGATGACCAAAGCCCTCTCTTCCAAAGAGCTCAAGCATTTAGAGGGCCTTGCTTCCATGACATCTGTCCCTTGGGATGCCATCGGAATGCCTCTCCTGCCAGTGACAGTGACAAGAAGGAAGCGGACTGACACATGGTAGGAACATAGCTCGTTCAACAGTAATCACACCTGCTAATCCTAAGAGGGTGACTTCTAGTTTCAGATAAAGTAGAAGTTGTCTGTACTTCTTCCCTAGCAAACTGAGGGAGTGGTACTGACTTCTGTCTCTGTCTGGGGCCCAGGCCTGGATGTGAGTTGACCTTTGATTTTGAATGACCACAGTCACGGTTGAAGCATTCAGGTCTGTTATGGCTGCAAGAGTCCCAGTGTAAGAAACAAATAGGGCCAGGTGTGGTGGCTCACGCCTGTGATGCTAGCGCTTTGAGAGGCTGAGGCAGGAGGATCACTTGAGCCCAAAAGTTTGAGACCAGCCTAGGCAACATAGTGAGATCCAATCTCTATAAAAAATAAATAGCCAGGCATGGTGGTGTGCACCTGTGGTCTCAGCTACCCAGGAGGCTGCAGTGGGAAGATCGCTTGAGCCCAGGAGGTCGAGGCTGCAGTGAACTGCACTCCAGCCTGGGTGGCAGAGTAAGACTCTGTCTCTTAGAAAAGGAAAAAAAAAAAAAACAGAAATAGGTTCAAATAACTAAGAAGTCCAAGGGCTTCAAGCACAATTGCACCTAGGAGCCCAGGCAGTGCCCTCAGAGGCTGGGGAGGCCTCTGTTTTCTGTCACGTTGCTCTGCTCTCAGCAGTGGCAAAATAATTAAGAGCAGCTCCTGCCCCTTTTCCAGCCCCTCAGCAATCCTAGAAGAGCGTACTCCTCTCTCTTCCAGCTCCACACAAACATCAGAACAGGGCCTTGTGGGATCCCTCTGGGGCACTTGACACCCCTGAGCCAATCACCATGGACTGGCAAGGGCAGTGCTCTGATGGACAGGCCTGGCTCAAATGATCAGCCCTGTGCTGGGGTTGAAATCAGAGTCCTCCTGAACCATATGGCCTGGAGATGGGAGGGAAGATTCCCCAGAGGAAAACCCAAGAAGAAGCAGGGAGTGGACTTCGGGTACTTCAAGTTTTCAAGAGAATCCCAAGAACCCTCCCAGCACTTTGGGAGGTCGAGTCAGGCAGATGGCTTGAGGTCAGGAGTTCGAGACCAGCCTGGCCAAAATGGCAAAACCCCGTCTCTACTAAGAATACAAAAATTAACCAGGCATGGTGGCACATGCCTGTAATCCCAGCTACTCAGTAGGCTGAGGCAAGAGAATCACTTGAACCCGGGAGGTGGAGGTTGCAGTGAGCTGAGATCACACCACTCACTGAGCTGAGATCACTCCAGCCTGGGCGACAGAGCCAAACTCCGTCTCGGAAAAAAAAAAAAAAAGAGAGAGAGAGAGAGAGACTCCTAAGAACCCAAGAACCCAGGACACAGCCCAAGTCAGTGATGTGATGGGAAGAAGCTGAAATGTGGTGACGGAGTGGAGCTGGGGTCACAGTGAAGGCAGGAGGACCCAGGAGGCCAGAGGAGCCACAGTTAGGGCCAGTCCTCAAGGCTTGACAATGACAACAGTGGGAGGAGCTCAGGGCTGAGCCATTAACAAGACGAATGAAACTGTCCCCTGGCTGCAGAGACCTGGGGCCCCTTTCAAAGCAGGCTGCGTGGGCAGGGACCCAGGGGAGTCATGGCCCCATCCCCATGACCCAGGACACCCCACACCCTGTGGTGACCCTCGCCCCTCACGGCTTCCCTGCACTCCAGAGTTGGTCCAGGCCGAGAGCCTCATACCCGGGCTCCTGTGGTCAGAGATGCAGTCCGGCACCAAGAAGGCGGGACTCAGGACACTCCAGGGCAGTGCGTGGTTCTGGGCAAGACACCCTGGACTCAGCTCCACAGTGACATGCTCACCCACGACAGACACACGCAGAGACAGAGACATGCAGAGACACACAGAGAGATACAGAGATGCACACAGATACACAGTGAGCTGAGATCACACCACTCACTGAGCTGAGATCACTCCAGCCTGGGCAACAGAGCCAAACTCCGGCTCAAAAAAAAAAAAAAAGAGAATCCCAAGAACAGGTACAGACTTGCAGAGACATACAGAACACACAGAGACAGAGACACAGGGACATACAGAGATGCACACAGAGATACAGAGACACACACAGATACAGACACGCAGAGACACACAGACAGGGACACACAGAGACATACAGAGACACACACAGAGACACAGAGATGCACACAGATACAGACATGCAGAGACACACAGAGAGAGAGACACAGAAACATACAGAGACACACACAGAGACACACAGATAGGGACACACAGAGACACACACAGAGAGAGCCACAGAAACATACAGAGACACATAGACAGGGACACACAGAGACATACACAGGTGCAGACATGCAGAGACACACAGAGACAGAGACACAGAGACATACGGAGATGCACGCAGATACAGACATGCAGAGACACACACGGACACAGAGATATACAGAGACACACACCGGTGCAGACACGCAGAGACACACAGAAACAGAGACACAGAGACATATGGAGATGCACACAGATACTGAGACACACACGGGTACACACATACATGGACACACAGACACAGAGACACACTCAGATACACAAAGAGATATACACAGACATATATACAGACACATAGATACAAACACACAGAGACACAGACACTCAGAAACACAGATATACACACATGTACACAGACACACCCAGAGTAGCAGATCCAGCACGCCCCCAGCTCCCACTTCCCATTTGTGAGTGTTTGCCACACCTCGGGTGGCCAGGGGCGTCTCAGGATCCACACTTTGGCTCCAGCATGGCCCCTCCCCCGGGCTAGTCCCTGTTACATCTGGTGGACCGCATCTGCATCCATGTCTCTGCATATCTGGGGGTGGCCTGTGCTGGTCTCCAGCTCAGAGGTTTCCAGGGGCCTTGATGGACTCACATGGTTCCCACTCCCTGTTCCCGCTTTTACTTCTCGCTCCTCGGCCCCAGCCCAGAGGTGGCCCCAGTACCCAAAGCCCTTAGTAATGTGTGTGACAGGCACGAGGCTACAGAACAAAACATTTATTCTTTCGGTTATGTTGCAAAGGTGGCCCCATGCATGCACCTCACATGGTTACTTTCTTCCTGGATCTGAAGTCATCCACCTTCTCAGGCAGGCTGTCTCCGCGCACTTCCTTACTCCGATTCTCCTTCAGGATATAATTGTCGAGAACCAGCTGCCGAAGGCTGCTGTGGTCCAGGGGCTGTTCCACTGCACCAAGATCAGATTTGTGTGAGGTGCTGGGAAATCAACCCCAGGGCTGGGGCTAAGCCTGGTTTGGCGTCCCTCCATAGCACTGGGGAGTGGAGCATGGAAATTCTCAGGTTTCAAGGAGGGGGAGAATGAACAGAAATATACTTCTTGGGGCTGCCCAGACAATGACTAGTTTTTCTCCCAGACAAGGATGTGAAGAATGTCTGGTTTAATGTTAAGGAGTTAGGGCCACCATGTGCAGTTGTTCAGGATGTGCACTGCACAAAGACACCTGAGGAGAGCGGTAGATGGATGGGCTGAAATCCAGCCCCCACTTGATTGCTGAGCCATAGCTACCCAGAAGGGGCAACTTTTTCTAATTTAATCTACCCAGAAGTGGCCCTTCTAATTCACACCTGTAGGCCATAGAGGCCAGTGGGCTGGGAGAACCTAATGTTCATCAACATTCCCTTGAACAGATGTGAAGACAGTATCTGTACATTTCTGACCTTGTGAGGACGACTTAACCAGCAGCTTGGCCCACCTCTCCCCCCAACCTTTTAGGAACTGAAAGGGCGGTGGAAGTTGTGCTGAGATGGGTGGCATCTGACCTAGCTTTCACTCCTGCTGCGTTTCAGTCTCCTCAGCTGAAACACACAGGATCTCTGTGTGTGCGTGTGTGTGTGCATGTGTTGTGTGCATGTGTGTGTGTGCACGTGTGCTTGTTGGGGGTCTCTACATCCTTGGCACACTTGAAATGCTGCTCAGAGAAATGGGGGCAGCTTTTAAAAAATTGATTTTTTCCCCTACTTACTAAAGTCATGCAAGGTCATTGTAAGAGAAAATTTCAAACAATACAGAATTGTTTAACTTAGAAATGCAACATTATTTGCAAACCACCATCCAGAATTATCCACTGTAACAGGTGGCTTATACACCTCTGTTTGGTTTTTTATGCATAATCTAGAAACCTTCCTCCTTCCCTTTCTCTCATCGCCCCTCCCTCCTCCTCCTCCTCCTCCTCCTCCTCTTCCTGCCTCTGAGCCTTCCTCCCTCTCTCCCTCTCCCTCCCCCTCTCACATGTCTTATATCTCTTATTACGTATCAGGGTTGTGAAGTGCTGTCCTGTGCATTGTGAGATTTTTAGCAGCATCCTTGGCCACTAGATGACAGCAGCACCGTCACTTTCAGTTGTGACAACCAAAAATATCTTCAGATATTGCCAAATGTCCCATAAAGGGTAAATCACCCCTGACTGAGGACTACTGGCAAAAAAAAAGTATATATATTATATATATATTATATATTATATTATTATAATATATAATATATATTATATTATATAATATATATTATAATAATATAATATATATTTTATATAATATATATTATAATAATATAATATATATTTTATATAATATATATTATATATAATATAATATATATTATATATAATATTATATATATACACACACACATATATACACATACACACACACATATATATACATACACGTGTGTGTGTACACACGCATGTGTGTGCCTGTGTATTGCATGCATATGTAGAGAATGTTTTTAGAAAGATGGGATTATACAATACAGTACTTCTCAGGATGCCCAGACAATTGTGCAACTGACTGTTTTCCCTTTTTGTCTTAATATCAAGGGCATCTTCCTAGTCTCTTCATATTGGCCCTGTGCCTTATTTTTGGGGCTGCTTAGAATTCCACTGCATGGGTGGATGAGCTGGACCTTATTTAACCAATCTCTAAGGGGTGGGCATTATACTTGTTTCCAGTTTGGGGCTGCAGTGAACAGCCTCCACTCCTCCACCTTTCATCTTCCACCCTTGAGTAGTCCTTCTGGAAGGATCGGTTCCCATATATGTGGCCAAACTGCTCTCCAAAAAGCAGGTGAGGTCAATTTGATTCCCACCTTCAGAGTGAAGGCCTGGCTCCCCACATGAGGAGGATGAGTGAGTTTCCACCTTGGAAAAGAAGGAAGATCAATGGGCTGGTGTTGGAAGAGCCACAGTTGACCATTTCGCTTCTGGCATGGACCAGGTTGAAGCTGCTTCAACCGTGGGGTTAGGGGACAAAAATGGGGAGGGGCCAAGGATGGGTCCTGGAGGCACAATGGGTCAGGGAAAGGGTGGTCATAGGTGAGTGAGACTCAGGAGCATAGATAGGGTGAGCATGAGACACTGAGTCTGGGAACTCTGTTTACTCATAACTTGCCAACTTGTAAACTTTTGATATTTTAAGGTTCATTTTAAATGATCAAAAGGTAGTTTTGACTTTTAAAAATATCCAAAATAACTAAACTTCAGGATCTGTGTCACCCTAGCATCATAGAGAGAAAAGTCCCCAAGCAAGTGACACCAAGTGACCACAGCCAAGATGGCACCCAAGGGAACTGGCAGGCCACAAGAGCTCATAAAGAGAGGAAACCGAGGTTCAACACTGCAGACCCTCTCGGGCACCTGGACACGGTCTCCCCAGACCTGAAGGCACAGGTTCCCTAGCAACCTGTGCAGATTGAGAGAGAGAGAACTCACCATCATCCAACCTGTCGCTGAAGGGGTCAGCCCCCAGCACTGGGGGGATGACTTTGATGGGTTCTGGGGGCTTGAGGAGGGCAGAGCCACCCCAGAAAGGGTTGATGAAGGGTGGCGGGATCTCAGCCTCTGCCCCTTCCACTTCCAGGATGCGCCTGTAGGTCTCCAACAGCAGCAGGTCGTTGGTCTTCTTTTCAATGATGGCTGGAGAACAAGAAGCAGGACCAAGATGGCTGCCGAGAGACCTGGGCCTGGGGGCACTGTGGGTGGTGCCACCACTGCAGAGGGCGGGGAGGAGCAGGAAGTACAGGAGGTGCGGGATCTGGGCTCTGACAAGGAAAAGGCTTTCTCCTGGGCGTCACTATGCATTCTCAACAGGACAACATCACTCCTCACCCTTAGAGGCTGAAATTTGGTTCTTGAGAGAAAAATAATTGACTTTTTTTTTTTTTTGACAAGGTCTGGCTCTGTTGCCCAGGCTGAAGTGCAGTGGCATGATCTTGGCTCACTGCGACCTCAAACTCCCAGTTCAAGTGATTCTCCTGCTTCAGTCTTCCGAGTAGCTGCAACCAAAGACATATGACACCGTGCCCAGCTAATTTTTGTATTTTTTATAGACACTGTGTCTGGCTGATCTTGAACTCCTAGGCTCAAGTGATCCTTCCGCATCAGCCTCCTAAAGTGCTGGAATTACAGGCGTGAGCCATCGTGCCTGGCTTCTGACTTCTTAATGTATACAACACAGATACGCACAGGACATAAGCAGACATACGGTATCTCAATGATATTAAAATGTTACATTCACAAGGAGGGCAATTAGGAAAATATGTCTAGAGAGGCTCCTTAGCAGGATGATGACGAAAAGAAGGTTGAGAAACACCAGGTTACACTAAAAATTGGGAGCCCCACCTTAAACTCCTGGCTTGCCCCAGTGTTCTCTGTTTCAAGTCTCCAGGCCTTTGCTTATGCTGTTCCTTCTGCCAGAATGCCTTTCCCTACACACTTCCTGAATAACCCCCTAGAGGTGTTTTAAAACTCAGGTCACTCCTCGCTACCTGCAGGAATGCTTCCCTGGCCTGCCTCATTCAGGGGACATCCCCTTGCACTGTAGCTCCATAGCCCCATGCAGTCACAAGAGCATTCATTCACTCACTCATTCATTCATTCATTTGCAAATGATTACTCAATGTCTACCACGCCATGCACCGTGCTAGACGCTAAGGATGCAATGGAGGAAAAACAAAACAATGACAACACTAACAACAAAAATACAGCCCTTGCCCTACCAGAGCTTCAGTATGTATGGAGGCATAGAAAGAAAGCCAAGTTCAACAATTGAACCAATCACTACAGGCAGCCCTGGCCATCCCGATGTTCATTATCTGATTCAATAACTACTGGATTTGGGTATGTTTTTTGAATAAACCTCACACTATCCAGACTGCTGCTATTCTATCTGAAAATCAGGGATCAAAAATATTACCATCCAGGCCGGGCACAATGGCTCCTGCCTGTAATCCCAGCACTTTGGGAGGCTGAGGCAGGTGGATCACTTGAGTTCAAGACCAGTCTGGCCAACATGGTGAAACCCTGTCTTACTAAAAAACAAAAATTAGGCCAGGTGCAGTGGCTCACACCTGTAATCCCAGCACTCTGGGAAGCCAAGGCGGGTAGATCACTTGAGATCAGGAGTTCGAGACCAGCCTGGCCAACATGGTGAAACCCCATCTCTACTGAAAATACAAGCTGGATGTGGTTGCTCAGGCCTATAGTCCCAGCTACATGCGAGGCTGAGGCAGGAGAATAATTTGAACCTGGGAGGCAGAGGCTGCAGTGAGCCAAGATTGTATCACTGCACTCCAGCCTGGGTGACAGAGCGAGACTCCATCTTAAAAAAAAAAAAAAAATTAGCCGGGCGTGGTGTCGGGCACCTGTAATCCCAGCTACTCGGGAAGCTGAGGCAGGGGAATCACTTGAACCTGGGAGGAAGAGGTTGCAGTGAGCCAAGATTGTGCCACTGCACTTCCACCTGGGCAACAGAGTGAGACTCTGTCTCAAAAAATAATAAATAAATAAATAATATTGGCAACCAAAATTTGCTATCATATCTCAGGAACCACATAGATTCAGATATTGAAAGCAACCTGTCCATAGAGACAAATTGGGTAAATGCTAAACACTAGGACTGCGGTGAGAGGGAATAATAGTGGTCGGGGGGAGTAGGGGGTGAAGCTTCAGATGGGTGGGGACAGGGCAGCTTCAGTGCAGGGAGGACAATGAAACTGAGATTTGAGAATGTGGAGGAACTGGGCATGGGACAGGTCTTCCAGGAACAGCCTGTGCAAAGGCCCCAAGGTAGGAACAAGATGCAGGGGCAGCAATGGATTTGGAAGGATCGAGAGGAGGATAGTGTGGCTACAGGTGAGCCAGGGACAGAGCAGGACAAGAGGAGATCAGAAATATAAGCAAGGCCAGGCTAGAAAGAACCTGATAGGCTGTGTGCAGAAAAAAGTCAACACAGCAGGGTGAGGCTTTCTCCTCTGAAAGCCTTGCTGACCAGGTCAGGCTTGGGCTGGCATCCGGGAACCTGGATTTCAGCAGGATTCCCAACACCATTAACTGATAAGAGTGGCTCGCCTGAATGGATAAAGAAAATGTGGTGGCCGGGCGTGGTGGCTCACACCTGTAATCCCAGCACTTTGGGAAGCCAAGGCAGGTGGATCACCTGAGGTCAGGAGTTTGAGAACAGCCTGGCCAACGTGGTGAAACCCCATCTCTATTAAACATACAAAAATTAGCCAGGTGTGGTGGTGGGCGCCTATAATCCCAGCTACTTAGGAAGCTGAGACAGGAGAATAACTTGAACCCAGGAGGCAGAGGTTGCAGTGAGCTGAGATCATGCCATTGCACTCCAGCCTAGGTGATGAGAGCAAAATTCCATCAAAGAAAGAAAGGAAGGAATGAAGGAAGGAAGGAAGGAGAAAGAAAATGTGGTACATATACATGATGTATATGTACAAAAAAAGAATGAGATCCTGTCATTTGCAACAACATGGATGGAACTGGAGGTCATTATGTTAACTGAAATAAGCCAGGCACAGAAAGACAAACTTCACACGCCCTCACTTATCTGCAGGATGAAAAACAATGAACACATGGAGATAGAGACTGGAAGGATGGTTATCAGAGGCTGGGAAGGTCAGTGGCAGGTGGGAGGGAGGTGGGGCTGGTTAATGAATACAAAAAAACAGAAAGAATGAGCAAGACTGGGCACAATGGCTCCTGCCTGTAATCCCAGCACTTTGGGAGGCCAAGGCAGCGGGATGACTTGAGTACAGGGGTTCGAGGCCAGCCTGGGCAACATGGCGAGACCCCATATCTACAAAAAAAAATAAAAATAAATAAATAGATAAAATAATAAGAACTAGTATTTGATAGCATAACAGGGTGACTATAGTCAAAATAATGTAATTGTACATTTTAAAATAACTAAAAGAGTATAATTGAATTGTTTGTAACACAAAAGATAAATGCTTGAGGGGATGGACGCCCCGTTTTCCATGATGTGATTGTTGTGCGCTGCATGCCTGAATCACAATATCTCATGTACCCTACAAAATACACACCATGTACCCACAAAATTTAAAAAAAATTTTAAAAGAGTGTCTCACCATGCCTAAATAGTTTGCACTATATGGTTTATCACATGGTTCACACTAACACATTGCTTTGCCAATTTTGTTCTGTACCCTTTTACTGTAATAAATCATAGCCATATGTGTGACTATATACTGAGTCCTGGAAGTCCTCTAGCAAATCACTGAATGTGGCCAGGAGGCTAGAATGTGTTTGGGGAACCTCCCAAACACAGAGTGTACTAAGAATCTGATGTTTGGCTGGGCGCAGTGGCTCACGCCTGTAATCCCAGCACTTTAGGAGGCCAAGGTGGGTGGATCACGAGGTCAGGAGATCGAGACCATCCTGGCCAACATGGTGAAACCCCATCTCTACTAAAAATACAAAAATTAGCTGGGCGTGGTGGCGTGTGCCTATAATCCCAGCTACTTGGGGGGCTGAGGCAGGAGAATCACTTGAACCAGGGAGTCAGAGGTTGCAGGGAGCTGAGATCGCGCCACTGCATTCCAGCCTGGGTGACAGAGTGAGACTCCATCTCGAAAAAAAAAAAAAAAAGAATCTGAGGTTTAATTCAAGGAGCAGTGGAAGCCATTCATTCCAAATTGTCAGGATCTATGCAGGTATGCCCCTCCCTGTCCTCTCTGAGCTTAGGGTCAATGCCTAGAAATGTATGTGATTGCTAATAGATTTGCTACATGCCAGGCACTACTCTGAGCACTTTATTCCTTCCTTTCTAATTTGTGTGCCTTTTATTTCTTTTCCGTGCTTTATTGCATTGGCTAGGGCCTCCAGTACAGCACTGAATAGGCATGGTGACAGCACGCAGACATCCCTTCCTTGTTCCTGATCTTAGGAGAAAAACATTCCACTTCCCACTCCCACCAGGAAGGATAAGATTCGCTGTAGTTTTGGGTGTTATTATTATTATTTTTTTGGTTTGCTTGAGACAGAGTCTTGCTCTGTTACCCAGGCTGGAGTGCAGTGGCACAATTTTGACTGACTACAACCTCCACTTCTCAGGTTCAAGCAATCCTCCTGCCTCAGCCTCCCGAGTATCTGGGACTACAGTGTACACCACCACACCCAGCTAATTTTTGTATTTTTAGTAGAGACAGGGTTTCACCATGTTTGCCAGTCTGGTCTTGAACTCCTGACCTCAAGTGATCTGCCCGCCTCGGCCTCCCAAAGTGCTGGAATTACAGGTGTGAGCCACTGTGCCTGGCCTAGTTTTGGGTGGTTTTTTGTAGATGTCTTTTATCAAGTTAAGAAAGTTTCCTTCTAGTTCTAGTTTGCCGAGAGTTTTCTTTTTTAAAATCATGAATGGATGTTGAATTTTATCAAATGCTTCTACATTTATTGATATGATAATATCATTTTTCTCTAATAACTATACATTTATTTAAGCCTCCCAACAGTCTTATGAGGTAGATACTGGGTTCACACCAATTTAAAAAAAAAAAAAAAAGAAGGCATTAAAAGAGACCCATTTTTGTCGATCAAAAATCTGAAGCACAGTGAGGTTCAGAAACCTGCCCTGGCCAGGTGCAGTGGCTCATACCTGTAATCCCAGCACTTTGGGAGGCCAAGGAGGGCGGATCACTTGAGCAAAGGAGTTTGAGACCAGCCTGGGCAATGTGACAAGATCCTGTCTCTACAAAAAATACAAAAAATCAGCCGTGTATGGTGGTGCATGGCTGTAGTCCCAGCTACTTTGGAGGCTGAGGTGGGAGGATCGCCTGAGCCCAGTAGGTTGAGATGGCAGTGAGCCATGATTGGGCCACTGCACTCCAGCCTGGACAACAGAGCAAGACCCTGTCTCAAAAGAAACAAAGCAAAACCAAAAAACAAACCTGCTTAAGGCTCCAGAGCTGGTAAGTGTAGACCCAGGATTCAAACCCAGGCAGGCTGGCTTTAGTGCCCACACACTTTGCCACAAAGCTCACTACTCCATAAGAGCAAGGCCTTATGCTCAGTCACAGAAAGTTCTGGAAATGTTTCCTAAGACTCCAACGGGCCCCAGCTTGACTCACCAAAATACTGCGGAAGGTTGATGTCAGTGACTTTCCCCGTCTCCCCTAACTGCACCAGGATCTTGGTGGCGTCACAGTTTATCTTCTTGAACAGTTTCTCCACTGAGTTCTTCAATAGATCCAAGGTCTTGCTGACCTCCCCGTACTTGCTCTCATACATATCTGCCTCCTCCGTGGTCTTCCTCAGTTTATCCTGGTGGCAGACCCCAATTCCCACCTGCTCAGGAGGACTTTCAGTGGGCAGGGTGTTTGGGACCCTCTGGGGTCAGGGTCTCCAAACTGCGGGTTTTCAAACCTCTGAGGGGACACGAGATCAATTAAATGGGTTCCCATCAAATTTTAAAGAAATAAAATAAAATAGAATAGCAATGAAAGGGAGAGAAGAAAAAATACTAGTGTACATTGAGGGTCGTAATAGTAAATATTGTTCAATGTAAGTTTTGCTTCACTTACTTGTCTATGTGTGTCTACATGTCTACAGGATTACGAATTTTTTTTTTTTTTTTTTGAGACAGAGTCTCACTCTGTCACCCAGGCCAGAGTGCAGTGGCATGATCTCAGCTCACTGCAACCTCTGCCTCCCAGGTTCAAGCAATTCTCATGCCTCAGCCTCCCAAGTAGCTGGGATTACAAGCAGGTGCCACCATGCCCAGCTAACTTTTTTTTTTTTTTTTTGTATTTTTAGTAGAGACGCAGGCTGCTCTCAAACTGCTGATCTCAAGTGATCTGCCCACGTTGGCCTCTCAAAGTGCTGAGATTACAGGCATGAGCCACCACGCCCAGCCTACAATATTTTTTAAAAGCTGTTGACTCTTTAATTTTTATTTATTTATTTTTGAGACAAGGTCTCACTCTGTCACCTAGGCTCCAGGCTGGAGTACAGTGGCCCAATCTCGGCTCACTGCAGCCTCAACTTCCTGCACTCAAGCTATCCTCCCACGTTAGCCTCCAGAGTAGCTGGGACTACAGGCAGACGCCACCATGCCCAGCTAATTTTTGTATTTTTTTTAGAGATGGGGTTTCACCACGTTGCCCAGGCTGGTCTCGAACTCCTGGATTCCAGCAATCCTCCCACTTTGGCCTCCCATTGTGCTGAGATTACAGGCATGAGCCACCTCGCTCAGCCAGTTCACTCATTTTTTAAAAAATGGTGATCCACCTGAGGCCAGAAGTTCAACACCATCCTGGCCAACATGGTGAAACCCTGTCTCTACTAAAAATACAAAAATTAGTTGGGCATGGTGGCATGTGCCTGTAATTCCAGCTACTGGGGAAGAGGCAGGAGAATTGCTTGAATCCAGGAGACGGAAATTGCAGTGAGCCCGAGATCATGCCACTGCACTCCAGCCTGGGTGACAGAGCGAGACTCTATCTCAAAAAAAAAAAAAAAAAACAAGGTGGTCCACAGGAAGAAATACATTGCAGCCAACACATACAAACATACATACGTATGTTGTGTATGTAGATTTATCCATATTATCTAATCAAATGAATATAAAATTTCACAAATCAATATTTTAAAAAAGCACAGTTGGGGTCTTGCTCTGTCACCCAGGCTGGAGTGCAGTCATGTGATCATAGCTCACTGCAGCCTTGAACTCCTGGACTCAGGTGATCCTCCTGCCTCAGCCTCATGAGCAGATGGGACTACAAGCATGCAACACCACACCCAGCTAAGTTTTTGGGTTTTTTTTTAATTTTGTAGAGATGGGATCTTGCTGTGTTGCCCAGACTGGTCTTGAACTCCTGAGCTGAAGAAATCCTCCTGCCTCAGTATCCCAAAGTGCTGGGATTACAGGTGTGAGCCACCATGCCAGTTCAAATCAATATTCTTTTTTTTTTTTTTTAATAAAATTAGAGACAAGTTCTTACCATGTTGCCCAAGCTGGTCTCAAACTCCTGGGCTCAAATGATCCTCCTGCCTCAGCCTCCCAAAGTTCTGGGATTAACAGATGTGAGCCATTGCACCCAGCCTCGAATCAATATTTTTATTATGTGTTCTAATATTTTCTCTTCTGTTCTGTTCTATCTCACTATTTTAAAATGTTGGCTACCATCCAATAAACTGATTTTACCATTCACAGTTTAAAACACATTGCCCTAGCCCAGTGGTTCTTAAAGTGTGGTCCCAGGACAAGCAGCATCAGCTTCACCTGGGAACTTGTTAGAAATGCATATTCTTGGCCCCCACCTCAGTCTTACTCAGTCAAAGGCCCTGGGGGTGGACCAGGCCACCTGGTTTTAGCAAGCCTCCCGGTGATCCTGGTGCACAGTAAAGTCTGAGAAGCTCTGCCAGCCTGTTGGATCTCAGCCTTGGCTTCACACTGGTATCACCTGGGAACTTTAAAAATATTTGCTGCCCAACTCCACCCTCAGTGATTCAGAGTCTTAATTGGCCTGGGGCGCAGCCTGGGCATCTGGGAGTTCTCATTAAAGCCTCCCAGGTGATTGTGACGTGCAGCTGGACTGAGGATCACTGTTCTAGGGTATTTCCTTCCCTGATTCCTGCCTCTCCCTCAGAGATCTTAGCTTGCAAAGGTGAACTGGACCCTGGGTGAACCAGCCCCATTCCCACTGGTGAACTCTGCACGCACCATCCCGGATAATGATCTCAAGGGGTCGGCCCTATTCACACCCCTATTTTACAGGTGAGAAAACTGAGGCTCTGAGGCATACAGCCAGGAGAAGGAAGCCAGGAATTGAGCTCAGTCTCTCAACCAGCACATCAGGTGGCTTCCTCCACCCGGCTACTAGAATGTTTAGTTCCCAGGGCTGCAAATTTCCCATATGACAAGAGCGGCCCTTTCTAAAGATGCATTAGGCCAGGCATGGTGGCTCACGCCTATAATCCCAGCACACTAGGAGGCTAAGGTGGGAGAGTCACTTGAGCCTGGGAGGTTGAGGCTGCAGTGAGCTGTGATCCCACCACTGCACTCCAGCCTGGGCGACAGAGCAAGACTCTGTCTCAAAAAATAAATAAATTATAATAAAAGTGCATTTAAGAAAATCACAATTTTAAAAAAATCACAGGATTCATTTTTTAAAAGTCAATGTTCAGCTTGATGTGGTGGTTATAATACATGTCTAGCTCCTAAAATATTCCAGGTACTTTACACACATCATCTGAACTCAGCCTCATAATCGGCCTAGTTTTCAGATGAGGAATGTTGAGGCCAGAGAAGAAAAGTGAATTCAGGTTTAGCTTCCCTGTACCAAGCTCATCCAAAGGCTTGACCTTGAGCTCAACTCTTCACTTTGGCAATTATTTAGTAACAAAGTGAGGGTGACTTACCAGTTTTTCTGGCTCACATGATAACAACAACAATAATAATAGCTACAATGTACAGCTCTCTGCATTACAGTGTGCCAAATGTATACATGTGTGATTTTATTCAACCTTCACAGCCCTAAGAAGTAGGTATGATTATTATCCCCATTTTACAGATGTGGAAACTGAGGCTCAGAGAGGTTGAGTCACTACCTCAACGTCACAGAGCTAGGAAGTGACTTTTCTGCAAGTCATAGCCAGGCTCCCAGAGCTTGGTTGCTTAATTCCTATGCAAAACCCTCCCATGATGGATGTGGTCCCACCACTTCTCCCAAAGGGAAGGAGATGATGAAATAAAGGGTTTCAAGAATAGAGCAGGTGGAAGTGATCTTTAGCAGGGGGTAGGAAACATCTGTGAGTCTATTGCTATCAAGACTGATTCTGGCCAGGCACAGTGACTCACGCCTATAATCCCAGCACTTTGGGAGGCCAAGGCGGGCGGATCACCTAAGGTCAGGAGTTGGAGACTAGCCTTGCCAACATGGTAAAACCCCGTCTCTACTAACAATACAAAAAATTAACCGGGTATGGTGGCACGTGCCTGTAATCCCAGCTACTCGGGAGGCTGAGGCAGGAGAATCGCATGAACCCGGGAGGTGGAGGTTGCAGTGAACCGAGATCGTGCCACTGCATTCCAGCCTGGGCGACAGAGCGAGACTCCGTCTCAAAATTAATTAATTAATTAATTAAAATTAAAAAATAAATTAAAAATTAAAGTTATCTCGGCATGGTGGTGTGCACCTGTAATCCCAGCTACTCGGGGGCGGAGGCAGGAGAATCGCTTGAACCCGGGAGGTGGACGTTGCAGTGAGCGGAGATCGCGCCACTGCACTCCAGCCTGGGCAACAGAGTAAGACTCCGTCTAAACAAACAAAGAAACAAACAAAAACAATTATCCTGCTTAGAGTATCTGCATTTGAAAAGAAGCCCCTCAAAGTCATGCTAAAGCCAAAGTAACAAAAAGCTAGCGGTGGGGCTTCAGGCAGAGGCGAGGGAGATGTTTGGCTTTGCCTGATCAGCCTGTTCCAAACGCCAAGATGTAGAGGGGCGCCAGTCTCAACCTCAACAAGAGTCTGGATTCTGGGTGGCCCCGAGTGAAGGACGTGGGCCCCAGGCATCTGCCCAGCTTGGGGAGGGTCTCCGTGGACCTGGACCCTGCCTGGAACCCTGTTATTCCCCATACCCAGATATCCGGGAGATGCCGCTCTGAGCACCTCAATGGGCAGCATGTGCTTTGCTGCCATCCAGTGGCCTAGAGGAGAATAACACCCTGGCGGCCATCCCTGTCTCCCAGGTGCGCGTCAGACAAAAAAAGCAGAAAACAGCCGCAAAGAAGGGAAGGGAAATGACTCCGGAGGGCAGTTGCCAGGTCTTTGTCAGACATATGCTATCCACTCTTTCCTTATACCTCAGTAACAAAACTCTGATTGTATTTAGGGTGGCAATGTGACCAACTAAAAGTTACATTTCCAAACCTCTCTTGCAATAGGGGTGGCCAATGAAGTTTAAATACAGAAGTCATTGGCTGAGACTTCTGGGAAGGCACTTTTAAGCTGTCTGACTCTGCTAGTGAGGATTTTTGTTGTTGTTGTTGCAGCTCCCACTTTCTTCCTATCTGGAATGTATATGCAACGGCTGGATCTATGGCAGCTACGATGCAACCATGAGGTGCCCTTGGAATATAAGTCACCCACTAAGGATGGCAAAACAGAAAGACGGAGCCCAGGTCACTGATGACATCATAAAGGTGCCATACCAGCCCTGAAGTGCCTATTTCCAGACTTATTTCCTTTTTTTTTTTTTTTTTGAGACAGGGTCTCACTGTGTTGCCCAGTGCAGTGACACGATCTCGGCTCACTGCAACCTCCACCTCCCAGGCTTAAGCAATTCTCCTGCCTCAGACTCCCAAGTAGCTGGGATTACAGGTGTGCGCCACTACCACCTGGCTAATTTTTGTATTATTAGTAGAGATGGGGTTTCACCAGGGTGGCAGACTTATTTCTTAAAGTAAATAAACTTGTATCTTGCTTAAGCCACTATTATTTGGAGTCCCTATTATTAGCAGCTGAATAAAGCTCAAAACGTATACAATATCCCAGCTCCTTGATGTTGGTCAAGTGACTTAACTTCCGTGAACCTTAGCCTCTGCATCTGTAAAACGACGAGATCAACAGCACCTGCCACCAGGATTCAATGAAAGTGCAAGCCAAGCTCTTAGCCCGGCGCCTCGTACATGGTAATTACTCCAGAAGTGTGTGTATTTGCTATTACTGATTGAGAACAGGGCACAGGCAGGACAAGGGGAAGAAAGAGGGAAAGAGGCAGAGATCCATGTGGAAGGAGCCCATCAGGGATGAAATTGCAGGCCCAAGAGCCCGGGCTGGACTCCCTGAAAAGGGGGGTGGGGGCTTTAGAATGGAAGAAGGGACAGAATTCCACAATGACATTGTAGCAGAGGCTGCCCGGGACAAAACGTCAGGACATGTCTGGATGTGATCCAGGCCAGCCTGAGTCATGGGGCAGACCTCTTACTGCTCCTGAGAAGCAGCTGACAGATGCCCGACGGACAGACAGACAGAAGCTCCCGTCAGACACAGAGACAGACAACAGAAGCTCCCGCATCCCTCCCTCCCGATCCTGTTCTCACCTCCAGCTGTCTCAGGACAGAGTGGTTGTCATCGTGGGACAATTTCTGCTGGGATCGCAAGAGGATGATCTCGTCCTGCTCGGGAGAGAACAAGACCATGAGGAAAAGTGGGCTCTTCCCTCCCCACTGCTCCCAAAAATAAGTGTGCGCCTCAAAGAGTCGATGAGGATTTCAATGATCCGTTTCAAAGAGCCCCAAACACCTGGGCCCCTCTTAGGCCCGTGGGGTTATTATTTTTTTTTCTTCTGATGTTTCTTAAGTAAAAGGAGGGTGAGAGCATGAAAGGGGGTGGGAGGGGTGAGTCATCCTTTCTTTCTTTATCTTTTTTTTTTGAGATGAAGTCTCGCTGCGATGCCTAGGCTGGAGTGCAATGGCACAATCTTGGCTCACTGCAACCTCCTAGATCTCCCAGGTTCAAGCGATTCTCCTGCCCCAGCCTCCTGAGTAGCTGGGACTACAGGCACGCACCACCAAGCCCAGCTTTTTGTATTTTTACTAGAGATGGGGGCTTCACCATATTGGTCAGGCTGGTCTCAAACTCCTGACCTCAGGCGATCCGCCCGCCTCAGCCTCTTCTGGAAAATTCTAGAACAATGCAGTCAATAGAATTTTCTGTTCTGATGGTAATGTCCTATCCACCCTAATACTGTAGTCACTAGCCACATGGTGCTGAGCACTTGAAATATGACTGGTGCCACTAGGAACTAATTTTTCTTTTTTTTCTTTTTTTATTTTTATAGAGATGGGGGGTCTCACTATGTTGCCCGGGCTGGTCTCGAACTCCTACACTCAAGCAATCCTTCCGCCTCAGCCTCCCAAAGTGCTGGGATTACAGGCCCACAGTGGCACAGAGCCACTGTGCCCAACCTCTGATGAACTAATTTTTAGATATTGTTTAATTTCAGTTAATGTAACTTAAAAAGCCACACGTGGCTGGTGGCTATGGTATTGAAGAGTGTGGCTGTGGAGTGGGAGTTCTCAAACCTGAGCATACTCTCAGACTCTCCAGAGTCACCTGGAGGCTTGTGAAAATGCAGAATGCCAGAACCCATGCCCAGGGCTTCCGATTCTGTTGGTCTGGGTGGGGCCTAAGAATGTACATTTCTAACAAGTTCCCAGGTGATGCTGCCACTGCTGTCCCAGGGACCAGCTTTGAGAACCACTGGGCTTAAACCATGTGCTCTGATAGAAAAAAGCTCACACCTTTCGACCGACCAATCTCATGCCTAGGAGTCTGTCCCATGGAAATAACAGAACAGGTCGGCAAAGGTGGACCCTCAGGGCTGTCTGTTGTATTCTTGTTTATAGTGGCCCCCAGTTGGGGACAATCAAATGTCTACTGATAGGGGGTCAGTTAATGATGGCACATTCATAAAACAGGGGAGAGGGTCTTGGGTTAAAATATGGCTAAAATGCAGATTCCTGGCCCATCCACAGAGAAGCTATGTCTGTAGGTATGGGAGGGGTTCTGGGGAATGTGCTTTTCTTCTTCTTCTTTTTTTTTTTTTTTTTTTTTGAGAAAGGGTCTCTCTCTGTCACCCAGGCTGAAGTGCTGTGGCATAATCACGGCTCACTGAAGCCTTGACTGCGATCCTCCCATCTCAGCCTCTCAAGCAGTTGGGACCACAGGCACATGCCTGACTAATTTTTTAAAAATTTTTCTGTAGACACGGAGTCTCACTATGTTGCCCAGGCTGGTCTTGAACTCCAGTGCTCAAGTAATCTTCCTGCCTCAGCCTCCCAACATGCTGGAATTACAGGTGTGAGCCACTGTGCCTGGACAGGAATGCATTTTTTTTGTTTTTTGGTTTGTTTGTTTGTTTGTTTGTTTGTTTGTTTTGAGACAAGCTCTTGCTCTGTTGCCCAGGCTGGAGTGCAGTGGTGTGATCTCAGCTTACTGCAACCTCTGCCTCTCGGGTTCAAGCGATCCTCCCATCTCAGCCTCCTGAGTAGCTGGGACTGCAGGCATGAGCCACCACACCCAGCCTGGAATGTGCATTTTTAAGAAGCATCTTGTGATTCCATGCTACAGAGCATCTAGGGTCTCCAGAAGCCATTAAAAAAACACAGCAGGCTGGGCATGGTGGCTCATGCCTGTTATCCCAGTGCTTTGGGAGGCCAAGGTGGGCAGATCACTTGAGCCCAGGAGTTTGAGACCTGCCTGGGCAATATTGTGATATTCCATCTCTACAAAAAAATACAAAAATTAGCCAGATGTAGTGGTACATGCCTGTAGTCCCCAGATACTCGGGAGGCTGAGGTAGGAGAATCCCTTGAGCCCAGGAGGCGGAGGTTGCAATGAGCCGAGATCCCGCCACTGCACTCCAGCCAGGCGATAGAGCAAGATCCTGTCTCAAAAAAAAAAAAAAAAAAAAAAGAAAAGGAGGAAAAAAATAGAAGATGTTGGGAGGTATCTATGGTAAGTTGTTGGGAAACAAAACGTTTACAGAATAGCATGAACTGTCTAGTATGATCTAGTACTACAAACAGGCTTGTAAATGGGCGTGTGTGTGTGTGTCTGTCTATGTGTGCAAACGTGTAACCACACACTGCCTTCATAAAGCAGTGTCAATAAAATGTTAATTATCTCCAGGTCATGATATCTTGGTGACTTTTACTTTTTCTTTATGTTTTTCTGAATTGCCTACACTTTCCCACAGGTGTATAATAATATATTTACACAATTTGGAAAATTCTACAAAGAACAAATACAAACCCAAATCAGGAAGAATCCCATCTCCTAACATAGCATTGCTTCATGTTTTTGGTAAGAGCTCTATCTTGCTTTTTTTCCCCCTGTAAAGATTGGAAGGCTCATCTCCTTTAATTTTTAAATTTTTTTTTTTTTGAGACAGGGTCTTGCTCTCTTGCCCAGATGGAGTGCAGTGGTGCGATCTTGGCTCACTACAGCCTCGACCTCCCAGGCTCAAGCAATCCTCCCACTTCAGCCTTCTGAGTAGCTGGGACTAGAGGCACACACCATCACACCCAGCTAATTTCTTTTTGTGTCTTGTATTTTTTGTAGAGATGGGGTTTCGCCATGTTGCCCAGGCTGGTCTCAAACTCCTGGGCTCAAGTGATCCGCCCACCTCGGCCTCCCAAAGTGCTAAAAATTTTTAATTTTTAAAAAAGCAGAAAGAACTCTACCAAAAAGATGAAACAATGCTATGTCCGTGTGATGGAATTATTCCTGATTTGGAGGTTGTATTTATACTTTTTAGTATTTTCCAAATTGTGAAAAAAAATTCTAATCGGAAAAAAATATATGATTTTGGAAAAAGGAAAAAAGAAAGGAAGTGAGTCTTCCGATCTTTACAGGGCAGGGGTGGGGTGGGGGATCTCTACCAAAAAGATGAACCAATGCCATATCCAGGTGATGGGATTCACATTGAGACTTTTTACTATTTTGCAAATTGCATCAATAACCTGAGTCGATGGCACCGCTCCCCTGCTCGGAGATCTCCCATGGCCCCTGCCTCTCTGAGAAATGGCCAAAACCTCTTCTGGAAATGTGCCCAGCAGCCCTCACCTCCCAGATTCATCCCCTCTCCCTCCCATGTCTCTCTCTGTGCGCCAGACACCCTGGCCTGCTTGCAAGCTGCGTCAGGGCCTTTGCGTGTGCTGTTGCTGTTTCCTCTGCCTGGAGCGTTCTTCCCCAGAGATCTGGACAGCTCAATCCTTCACCTGTAAGTTCACTCAGATCTTAACTTCTCAACTGCCCGGGGCCCCAACCGGCTCCAAAACCCGTCTTACGCTGTGCGACTTCATCTTTTTACCCACACTGCATCTCCCTTTCTAACTTACTCTATAACTTACGTAAGTATTGGGCTTGTTGTTTATTGTCTGTTTCTCCCTGCCAAAACAGCAGTTCTGTGAGGGCTGAACTTTTTGTCATCCTGTTCACTGCCACATTATCAGGGTCTAGAGCAGTGTCTGGAACGCAGTAGGTGCTCAATAAATACTTGCTGGATGAACGAGTAACCAAAAGGACATTTGCTTCAATCAGATACACAACTTTATATGATAATAACTATGTTACATTTGAAAAGCACAACCATTGACACCAGCCTGGGCAACACACTGAAACCTCATCTCTGCAAAAAATACAAAAATTAGCTGGGTGTGGTGGTGTGTGCCTGTAGTCCCAGCCACTCTGGAGGCTGAGATGAGACGATCACCTGAGCCAGGGAGATTGAGGCTGGAGTGAGCCAAGATCAAGCCACTGTACTCCAGCCTGGGTGACAGTGTGAGATCCTGCAAAAAAAGAAGAAAGAAAAAGAAAGAAAAACGAAGGAAGGAAGGAAGGAAGGAAGGAAGGAAGGAAGGAAGGAAGGAAGGAAGGAAGGAAGGAAGGAAGGAAGGAAAGAAGGACCAAAAAAAAAGTTGGAAGTTGGAAGGAAATATTTCAGAATGTCACCAGTGATTGTCTCAGGCAATGGGATAGTGGGTGGTTTAAAATTCCTTCCATCCTTAGTTGCTTTCCAGATTCTCTACAGTGAGCATATCTTTGTCCTATAACATTTTTTGCAAAATTAAGTCTTACCATTGGAAATCAGTGCTCTCTGGACTTATTCAACAGGCATTTGCAGATCTATTTGAGCCCAAAAAGTCATAGTTCTGTAACCTTAACAAAGAGCTTGGAAGCTACTGTTCTGGTCCAAATATCACTCTACAGATGGGGAAACTGAGGCCCAGAGAGGGCAGCGCTTACCCATCTTAGACATATTTGTCATGACCCTAAGGAAGAGGGTCCCCTTATGAGGAGTGGGGAAAATCAAGGCCAATTCAGCTCAGGAATATTTTCTATCAGGTCAGGATATTCAGCTGGGGTCCTCATACCCCTCTGCTAGGGCTTGTCCTCCCTCGGTGTCCCACTGGGACCCGAGAATTCAGGGTCCTGCCCACTTCCAGGCCTGCCCGCAAAGACCTTCCCTGCAATACCGCAAATGGACGCCAGAGGACAGTGGTGACGCGCCTGAACCTCAGTTAGCAACTCAAAGGCCCGCTAAGCTCTGCGGGCCCTGGAGCACTTCAGCCTGGCTGGTCTCTGTGAGCGAAGAGGGAGCCGATGGCTCCGTTTGTAGGAACTCGGATTCCCGCGGGAATGTGGGCGGGAGGTGTCAGATCTGATTTTCCAAGGGAAACCAGAAATTCAGACTTTCATGTGGAATATCCTGGTTTTTAAATCACTGCCACTAAGAATTTAACAACTTGGGGAGGTGGAGGAGACCAAACGAAACTAAAAAAGAAGGCTGGGGCCGGGCGCGGTGGCTCACGCTGTATTCCCAGCATTTTGGGAGGCCGAAGTGGGCGGATCACGAGGTCAAGAGATGAGACCATCCTGGCCAACATGGTGAAACCCCGTCTCTACTAAAAATACAAAAATTAGCTGGGCGTGGTGGCGCGCGCCTGTAGTCCCAGCAACTCAGGAGGCTAGTTTATGAGACTCCGCCCCCAGCCCTCTAGGGAGGGGTGAAGTCAGATGTTAGAATTCTAATTGTTTTTAATTAAAAAAAAATTTTTTTAACCTGATCCCTTAGTCTGAGCAAAGGTGCCAGAAGAAGGCAAAAAGGTAGGGTCCCAGCCCCCTCCCATGGCCCATCCCACCGCCACTCCTTCATCCAGGTCTGCTCCATTTCCTATGTTTTATGTACCAGTGTTTCCTCATAACATGGGATTAAACAAAAACATTTTGTATAAGAATAGAGCTTGCAGAGCAAGCCACCACCGGGCGTGGTGGCTCATCCCTGTAATCCCAACACTTTGGGAGGCCGAGGCAGGCGGATCACCTGAGTTCAGGCGTTCGAGACCATCCTGGCCAACATGATGAAACCTTGTCTCTACTAAAAATACAAAAATTAGCCAGGTGTGGTGGCTCTGCCTGTAGTCCCAGCTACTCTGGAGCCTGGGCAGGAGAATCGCTTGAACCCGGGAGGTGGAGGTTGCAGTAAGCCAAGATCGTGCCACTACAGTCCAGCCTGGGTGACAGAGCAAGACTCTGTCTCAAAAAAAGAAAAAAAGAAAGAAAATTTAAAAAAAAAGTTTTGTAGCTTTTTAAATAAAAGTTTGAAACTTTTTTTATAAAAAGAGTTTGGACTTGGAGGACTCCTCTAGTCCAAGTGTGTGTGCCATTCTACAGATAGAGAGACTGAGAACCAGAGCACCTGCACTTGTCCTTGTGCAGGAGATGCTGTGCGACTGCAGGAGGAAAGGATGAGAGCAGCCTCAAGGTGAATGTGAGGTCAAGGTCATTTCTGGGGAAGAACCATTTCCTGTGCCTGTCCTGGACCCTTGTCCAGGAAGACCTCCTTCCGGGAGGGGGACAGAGAGTGGCATGAGGGTCCTTCAAGTCTGTCTTCCCCACCCCCGGGTGCACCTCCCACCCCACACCTCCCCATGCCCTGCCTGGGACCTGCAGGGCTTGCACCAATGGGCTTCCTTGTGCTTGGCTGCTGAGTAGCCCAGCCAGTGGGAGGCACAAGTGGGAGATAAAGGGTGGGAGGAGAGGGAGGTTGGGGTATTTGCCACCCCCTGGGCCCGTCCCTAATTTGGCTGCACCCCTCCAGGAAGGGCATAGCAGGCAGCCATATCCTCATTCCTCCCTCCCCTGACCCATTTCTGGAGCTCTGGCTACTCCCGCATGCTCCCTTCTTAATTTCCTTAGATGTCTGGAAACAGTCCCTTTTTAAAAACTCTCCTCAATTTACCCATTTTATTTTTGGGTTTTGGTGGTTTTTTGGGGTGGGTTTTTTTTTGGTTTTTTTTGAGACGAAGTCTCCCTGTATCACCCAGGCTGGAGTGCAGTGGCGCCATCTCGGCTCACTGCAACCTCCACCTCCCGGGTTCAAAGGATTCTCCTGCCTCAGTCTCCCAAGTAGTGGGATTGCAGGTGCAGGCCACTATGCCCAGCTCATTTTTGTATTTTTAGTAAAGACAGGGTTTCACTATGTTGCCTAGGCTGGTCTCGAACTCCTGAGCTCAGGTGATCCACCCGCCTCGGCCTCCCAAAGTGCTGCGATTACAGGTGTGAGCCACTGTGCCTGGCCAATTTACCCATGTTGGCTGTGCTGTTTCCTGTGACAACCCTAATTGATAAAGTCACCTTCACTCCATTTTTTGCAGCCACATGGACTGTTATTATCTATAATAGTTTTCTGTAAACCAAGCCATTATGTTTATTATTCTTTGTTTACTGTTATTATTACTTACTACCCTAAGTAAATATCCATTAAATCACAAGTTTGCTCTGCAAGCTCTATTATTCCTTTAAAAATTAATTCATCACTAGTAAATGAAAATGTTTTCACCTATATTCTAGCTGCAATCTGTTTGCACATGGCCAGCGTGCATGCCCCACATTTGGGAAACAGTGACATATTGCAAAGGAAAGCAGCTCCCCTCATCATGTAAGCAGAGGACAGGGCCTGCAGAAGAAGGACTAATGAATTCCCAGAGGAGGCGACATTTGTGCAGGGTCAGGACTAATGAGCAGGATTTCATCAGAAGAGAAAAGGAGGGGAGGGAGAGGGAATAGCACGGGAAGGCAGTGGCGGAGGGAAATGCATGGGACAGCTGGGGCTGGCAGCAGCAGAGGGTGTCTTGGAGGTCATAACAGGACCTGTGTCTGCAAAGGCAGGTAGAAGCCAAATTTTGAAGGGGCTGGAATGTCACACTAAAGGGTTTAGACTCTATTCCATGCAGACAGTTCCAAAGGATGTTTATTTATGTACTGGTGTGTAAATAGCCCAGGAAGCCAATGACATTTGGGAAATTATGGGTTCAACAAAGGTAGACAGGCTTCTTTACTGCAGGACTTGTCAGGGCCTGTGCATCAAGTCTCGCCAAGATGAGAATGAGTTCTCACTCCTCGAAACTGTTGATTAACAAGGGTCAGGTAAGGGGCCAAATAAGAAATACTTTCAGCTTTGCAGGTCCCTCTTGCATATTTCTCTCTCTCTCTTTTTTTTTTTTCTTCTTACAATCCTTTAAAAATGTAAAAATCATTCTTAGCTCATGGGCTACACAGAAATAGCCATGGACTGTAGTTTACTGAATGCTGGTTAATAAAACATGCCATGGATTATAAAGTCACTATTGGGTTGGGGGACATGAATACATGAAATGTATCTATACATTGAAAGACAATTACAGGCCAGGTGTGGTGGCTCACATCTATATAATCCCAGCACTTTGGGAGGCTGAGGCAGGTGGATCACTTGAGGCCAGGAGTTTGAGACAAGCCTGGCCAACATGATGAAACCCCATCTCTACTAAAAATACAAAAAAAAAAAAAAAAAATAGCAGGGCGTCGTGGCGGGCACCTGTAGTCCCAGCTACTCCAGAGGCTGAGGCAGGAGAATCTCTTGAACCGGGGAGGTGGAGGTTGCAGTGAACCAAGATCATGCCACTGCACTCCAGCCTGGATGACAGAGCAAGACTCCGTCTCAAAAAAAATACAAATAAAAAGTAAGGGGACACTGGGTGCAACGTTTCACACTTGTAATCTCAGTACTTTGGGAGTCCAAGGTGGGAGGATTGCTTGAGGTCAGGAGTTCGAGACCAGCCTTGCATGGCAAAATCCCAACTCTACAAAAAATACAAAAATTAGCCAGGCATGGTGGTGCACACCTGTAGTCCAAGCTACTCAGGAGGCTGAGATGCAAGGATCATTTCAGCCTGGGAGGTTGAGACTGCAGTGAGCCAATATCGCACTACTACTGCACTCCAGCCTGGGTGACAGAGTAAGATCCTGTCTCAAACATAAAATGTAAGGGGAATAGAGCGGTGTTGGCCAAACTGCTTTCTGTAGTGCCTCTCACAGAGCCTTCCTAGGAGACTGCCCTGGAAAGGCTGCTGTGGACACAGGGGCCCAGGGCCTGGGAAAGCAGAGCCGCCCTGACCTGGATTCGTTGGGTCCTCTTGTGCATCATCTCCATGTCGTTGTTGAGCTCCGTGACATACGTGAACCGAGCAAAATTCTTCTCCTCCTTGGCCAGAAAATCTTCAATGAGCTGGTTTAGGTTCCCACTCTCAGCCAGCTTCAGCAGCCGGAGGTGGGCCACCTCATAGCTCTCAAAACTCTCTCCCCTGTTCTTCTTGACATGCTTCTTTGCCTTGAGAGCTAGGAAAGGAAAAATCAGCCACTGTGACACTCAAAAGGAAGCTCCTCAGATCCGTGCCAGGCAGACAGTAACGTGATCAATATTATTGTGGCCAGGCATGGTGACTCACGCCTGTAATCCCAACACTTTGGGAAGCCGAGGCAGGCAGATCACCTGAGGTCAGGAGTTCGAGACCAGCCTAGCCAACATGGCGAAACCCCGTCTCTACTAAAAATGCAAAAATTAGCCAGGTGTGGTGGCACATGCCTGCAATCCCAGCTACATGGGAGGCTAAGCCAGGAGAATTGCTTGAACCTGGGAGGCAGAGGTTGCAGTGAGCCAAGTTTGCGCCACTGCACTCCAGCCTGGGCGATGGAGCAAGACTCCATCTCAAAAAACAAACAAACAAACAAGCAAACAAAAAACAAACAAACAAACAAAAAAATATATATATAGTAGTATGCTTTAGGGATGAGGCTAGATGTTTCCAGGAGATAGAGCAGAAGCTTCACCCATCATTCATTTCACAAATATCTCAAGAAGCATTTACTATGAGTCACACACTGTGCTAGGCACTGCTGATACAAAATCCCTGCCCTGGCCGGGCATGGTAGCTCACACCTGTAATCCCAGCACAGGGGTTGAGCCCTGGAGTTCAAGACCAGCATGGACAACATAGCAAGACCCCACCTCTACAAAAAATTTTTAAAATTAGGCCGGGTGCAGTGGCTCCCGCCTGTAATCCCAGCACTTTGGGAGGCCAAGGCAGGTGGATCACGAGGTCAAGAGACTGAGACCATCCTGGCCAACATGGTGAAACCCCGTCTCTTCTAAAAATACAAAAATTAGCTGGGTGTGGTGGCATGTGCCTGTAGTCCCAGCTACTCAGGAGGCTGAGGCAGGAGAATCACTTGAACCCAGGAGGTGGAGGTTGCAGTGAGCCGAGATTGCGCCACTGCACTCCAGCCTGGGTGACAGAGCAAGACTCCGTCTTAAAAAAAAAAAAAAAAAAATTTAAAATTAGCCAAGTGTCGTGTTGAATGCCTGTGGTCCTAGCTACTCGGGAGGGCAAAGTGGGAGGATGGCTTGGGCCTAAGAGGTCAAGGCTGAAGTGAGCTGTGACTGTCACACCACTGCACTCCAGCCTGGGAGAAAGAACTAGACCCTGTTTCTTAAAAATAAATAAATAAATAAATAAAAGGATCGTTTAGGCACACCTGACCATGTGACCTTTTTACAGGTTGTGGCTCCCCACTGTTCTGGGGAGGCTCAGGCGATCCTCCCACCTCAGACTCCCCAGTAGCTGAGACCACAGGCAAGTGCCACCATGCCCAGCAGTTTATCCCAAACACCTGCTTTTCCTCTGAGTGTCTAGAATTTTGGTATGTGCTAGGCAGAGGGTGTCTACACGACCAGCCCCCAGTAAGAATTTGGGGTACTGAATCTCTAGTATACCCCACTATGAGATAACCTTTTTTTTTTTAAGAGACAGGGTCTCACTCTGTCACCCAGGCTGGAGTGGCGCAATCATAGCTTGCTGCAGCCTCAAACTCCTGGACTTAGGATCTGCTTTTTTCTACCCCTCAGCACCTTGTCACCATCAGACCTTCTGAGATCAAGCCATCCTCCCATCTCAGTCTCCAGAGTAGCTGGGACCACAGGCATGTACCACTATGCCCAACTAATTTTTTTTTATTCATTGTAGAGATGGGGTCTTGCTCATTTGCCCAGGCCAGTCTCAAACTCCTGGCCTCAAGTGATCCTCCCGCCTTGGCCTCCCAAAGCACTGAGATTACAGGCATGAGCCACCATGCCCAGCCTAGTAGATAACTCTTGACATGATGTGTGGTCACAGATCCTGAAAGAACCATGTGTGCTCAGTGTGACTGTACTTGGAAGCTTGCGCCCAGTTTCCTCCAGACGCCGGACCACACACCTTCTCCCTGTGCTGATCTTGCTTGGTGCCTTTTCACTGTAATGCATCACAGCCATGAATGTGCCTCAGTGCTGAGTCCTGCGAGATATGCTAGTGAATCATCAAACCTAGAGATGAACCTGGGGACCCCTGACAATAAGTCTCCTTCTAAATAATAGAAAGAGAGTCCCAGATGAAGACACATGCTGTAAATTAGGGTTGGCAGATAAAATAGAGGGTTCTCAGTTAAATTTGAATTTCAGACAAATATATTTTTAAGTATAAATATGTCCCAATTATAGATAAACAAAAAAGTTTTATCATAAGTATGTCCCAAATGCTGCATGAGACATAGTTATCCTAAACATTTATTTATTGTTTATTTGATATTTAAATTTAACTAGGCATTTTTTTTTTGAGAGTCTTATTCTGTTGCCCAGGCTGGAGTGCAGTGGCATGATCTTGGCTCATTGCAACCTCTGCCTCCTGGGTTCAAGTGATTCTCCTGCCTCAGCTTCCCAAGTAGCTGGGATTACAGGCACTCACCACTATGTCCAGCTAATTTTTTTGTATTTTTAGTAGAGACGGGGTTTCACCATGTTGGTCAGGCTGTTCTCAAATTCCTGACCTCAAATGATCAGCCTGCCTTGGCCTCCCAAAGTGCTGGGATTACAGGCGTGAGCCACCATGCACAACCTTAACTAGGCATCTTATATCTTTATTTGCTAAATTTGACAACCACAAGGAGACTTGGGCACCTTCACTTAAAAAGAGAGAAAGAGAGAAAGAAGGCAAGAAAGAGAGTGAGAGAGCACAAGCTTGCTCCTGGAGGGTGTACCTTCCTCCCTTTTGGCCTGCTCCTCGAATTCATTGCGATCATTCAGCTTGACGAGCAGGAAGGACTTGAGCTTGCTCTCATGGGCATAGAGACGCTCCAGCTCTCGGATCTCCAGGTTGTACTGAGAGGTGTCCTTCTTCTGGCGGTCTTTCATGGCAGCCATTCGAGCCATGGCCTCCACCCTGGGCAAAGGGAGTACAGAGCCTGAGCATCTGAGGCTCCTCCTCTCTACTTCCCTTTCCCTGCCAGTCCAGAAGGCCTTCCTGCCTAGAGAATGACTATCACTTTTATTTATCATAAAGGTTTCTCGGTGTGTAAAAACAATCCTCCTTACCTGAACAACAGGAGCTGTAAGCTCTAGATCACTCCCAGAAATGATTTTCCATCATTATCATCATCATTGCCTTCAGCATCACCATCATCATCATCACCACCACCACCATTACCACTATCACCATCACCATTATCACCATCACTACCATCACCATCATCATTGTCACCATCATCATCACCACCATCATCATTATCACCACTATCATCACCACCATCACCATCACCACCCCATCACTATAACCATCATCACCATCACCATATCACCATCATTACCATCATTATCGTCACCACCATCATCACCACTTATCAATTACTGTGTCCCAGGCACTACTTTACATTTATATATTATTTAATCCTCTTTACCATCTAAAGAGCTCCTACAACAATACAGTAGTGATGAAACCAGGATTTAAACCCAGATCTGACTCTGAAGGCTACGCCCTTCACAGCCAAACTATATGCCTTTTGCTCCTATGAGTGTGAAGCCAGCAGAGACCCAGATTGAGAAAGATCCCCTTGGACTAGAGGCAGGGGCACTTGGAGGAGATGGTACAGCACAGAGGTTTGAATCTCAACTTCACCACAATCACCACTTACCTGGATCTCAGGTAGGCATTTTAGCATCTCTAAGCCTGCACATTCCAGTCTGTAAAATGGGGATAATAATTCCTAGGGCAGTTGTGAGAGTTAAAACAATACCCACCAGAGTACCTAGCATCATGCCTGGCACACAGTCAGTGCTCAGAATTATTACTACTATGATTTAAGATTCCCCAACACATAACGACCAGGGACAGTGGTGGCCCAGAGTAGGAAGCTAGATGCTCAGCAAGGGGCTAAGAGACCTCGCTGCCCCTGGACCTATCCCCAGCCCACCTCTGCTCATAGGCCTGAGAAGATTGCTCAATGGCCAAGTTCATGGTTTTCTTCTCCATCAACAGGCAGTGCTGGAGCTGCTGGTAGACATTGTCATAAGCAGCCTTCTCAAATCGTAGGTCTTCAATCTCCTTCCGGAGCTTGGCATTAGTGGTCAGCATCTTGTCAAAGTGAACAGTGACCTGTTGAAAGGGCCATGCTTCAAAACAGGTCTCATTTCTGTTTTGTAAGATAAGCTACCAGAAGGCACCTGGAAGGCTGTCAGGTCTTTGCCCCACCTCATACGCAAGGGCCATGGAGGAGTGGTTGGAGCAGTAGGCAAGAGGCTCAACTGGTTGGAGCCAGTTGAGTGGCCCACCAACTGGCTAAGGGCCCTTTAGTGGATCCTTTTTACTACTGTATTTCAAATTCCTCAACTACTTTTAGACCTAAGTTCCAGCTGTAGGCAATTAACAGAGGAGTGGGGAACAAGCTAAATGACAGCATAGGAAATAATCAGCCAAACTGAGAAGATATTAATAGAACTTTCTACAGGACAATTGACTTGGACTTTTCAACAAATTGACAGCATGAAAAAAAAATTGGGTGGGGCTGTTTTCATGCAGGGTTTCTCAAACTCAGCACTACTGGCATTTTGGGCTGGATGATTCTTTGCTATAGGGGGCTGTCCTATGCTTTGTGGGATATTAAATACCCACTACATGCAGGTAGCACCCTCACCTCCAACTCTGTTATGACAACCAACAGTGTCTCCTTTTGGGGACAACGTCCCTTTGGAGGCAAAATCACCCTCAATTGAGAGCCACTGTTCTAGATTAAAGAAATTTAAGAGACCTAACAATTATGTGAACCTTGACTGGATCTACCTTTAAAAGACATTTTAGGGCCAACCAGGTACGTGTTAATATGGACTAGGTATTGTGTAATATTATGGAAATATTATTCATTTTGTAGGGTGTAATACTGGTCTTATGACTGTGAAAGAAAAAGTTTAATTTTAAAATATGCAAACTGAAGTATTTAGGGGTGAAATGTCGTGACACTTGTAATTCACCTTTAAATACTTCAGGGGAAAAATGGTGAAGCAAATAAAGCAAATGTTAACAGTTATTAAATCAAAGTGATAGATTTGCTCATTATTTTATTCCCTCTACTTTCCTGTATGTCTTATAAATTGTCTTAGCTTTTTTAAAAGTTGTTTTTTAAAGGCGATGTGATTGGTTACACTGTTCATGGGAATGTAGATTGGTGCAGCCATTATGGAATAAAAGGATGAAGGTTTCTAAAGAAGTTAAAAATAGAACTACCATATGACCCAGCAATCCCTCTCCTGGGCATACACCCAAAGGAAATAAAATCACCACCTCGTAAGGGCATCTGCAGTCTCACATTCACTGCAGCATTATTCACAACAGCCAAGATTTGGAAACAACCTAAGTATTCACTGACAGATGAATGGATGAAGAAAGTGGGGGCTGGGCACAGTGGCTCACACCTGTAATCCCAGCACTTTGGGAGGCCAAGGCGGGTGGATCACCTGAGGTCAGGAGTTCAAGACCAGCCTGGCCAACATGGTGAAACCCCGTCTCAACTAAAAATACAAAAATTAGCCAGGCATGATGGCAGGTGTCTGTAATCCCAGCTACTCAGGAGGCTGAGGCAAGAGAATCATTTGAACCTGGGAGGCAGAGGTTTCAGTGAGCCGAGATCACGCCACTGCACTCCAGCCTGGGCAACAGAGTGAGACTTTGTTTCAAAAACAAGAAATTGGGGTGTGTGAGTGTGTATATATATGCACATACTTATATGTGTGTATATATGTATGTGTATATGTATGTATACATGTGTGTATACATATATGCATATAGGTATATATATGTATGTATATGTGGATACATATGTGTGTGTGTGCATATATATACACAATAAAATATTACTGAGCCTTAAAAAAGGAGACTCTGCCATTTGCCACAACATGGATGAAACTGGAGGACATTACGCTAAGTGAAATAAGCCAGACGCAGAATGAAAAATATTGCATGATCTCATTTATATGTGGACTCTAAACAAAAAAAAGTCAAGGCTGGGCGCAGTGGCTCATGCCTGTAATCCCAGCACTTTGGGAGGCTGAGGCGGGTGGATCACCTGAGATCAGGAGTTCGAGACCAGTCTGGCCAACATGGTGAAACCCCATCTCTACTAAAAATACAAAAATTAGCCAGGCATGTTGGTGGGCACCTGTAATCCCCAGCTACTTGGTAGGCTGAGTCAGGAGAATCGCTTGAACCTGGGAGGCAGAGGTTGAAGTGAGCCGAGATTACGCCACTGCACCCTAGCCTGGGTGACAGCATGAGACTCAGTCTCAAAAAAAAAAAAAAAGAAAGAAAGAAAGTCAAATATACAGAGATAGAGAATAAAACAGTGGTTACCAGGGCAGAGGGGGTGAGGGGGAAAGGGAGCAGGGAGATGGAGGTCAGAGGATAGCAAGTAGCAGATATGGAGAATGAGCAAGTCTAGAGCCCTAAGGTACAACATCAGGACTCCAGGGACTCTAATTGTACTGTATTTGGGGCTAGGCGCAGTGGCTCATGCCTGTAATCACAACACTTCGGGAGGCCAAGATGGGTGGATCACCTGAGTGAGGTCAGGCGTTTGAGACCAGCCTGACCAACATGGTGAAACCCTGTCTCTACTAAAAATACAAAAAATTAGCTGGGTGTGGTGGCGCACACCTGTAGTCCCAGCTACTCGGGAGGCTGAGGCAGGAGGATTGCTTGAACCTGGGAGGTGAAGGTTGTAGTGAGCCAAGATCGTGCCATTGCACTCCAGCCTGGGGGACAGAGCCAGACTCCGTCTCAAAAAAAAAAAAAAAAATTGTACTGTATTTGGGATTCCTGCTAATGTGCAGATTTTAGAGGTTCTTGTCACAAAAACAAAAATGGGTAACTATGTGAGATAACAGATATGTTAACTTGCTTCACTATTGTAACCACTTTAATATCTACATGTATCAAATAATATATTATATACCTTAAATATACACAGTAGAATTTATTTTTTATTTTTATGAAACAGGGTCTCGCTCTGTCAACCAGGCTGGAATAAAATGGTGCAATCACAGGCTCAAGTGATCCTCCCACCTCAGCCTACCGAGCAGCTAGGACTACAGGTGCAGGCCACAACACTCAGCTATTTTTTTTTTTTTTTTGTATTTTTAGTAGAGACAGAGTTTCACCATGTTGCCCAGGCTGGTCTCAAACTCCTGGCCTCAAATGATCCTCCCACCTCAGCCTCCCAAAGTGCTTGGATTATAGATGTGAGCCACCACATCTGGTTTATTTTTTTTTAATAAAATTATTTTTTAAGTTTTTTTAAAAGACCACGTAAAGTGCTCCCATAAGCACTGAAAAGAGACAACTACAAAAAAATATTCCTAACAGCAAGGGGATTTAATTTCACTGGAGGTTTTCAAAGTATGTTCTAAGAAACATTCGGTTTCTGCAGGGCCAACACTGGGGTAAAGCAAGTGAAGCAACCGGGGCATGAAATGTAAGGAGGCACTCACTCTCAGGTGCCAGCCCTGTGTTTCCACAAGCCTGAGCAGAAGAGCCTCCTAAAATGTTGCATCCTGGGCTTTTTGCTTGCTTCTGCTAGTCTGAGCTCTGGGTGTTCCTGAGTGTCTCCATAGCCACCACACAAGGTAGGGGAGTCCCTGGGAGCAGAGCATTCTTATTCTATCTTTGCATCCTCCACTTCCTCTTGGGAAGTTATCAGTTACCACTCATTTGCTCCTTACTGTGAATTTTGCTCCAGGACCGTAGCATACTATCTATCCTCTGATTGTGGGGGGGAAAGACCTGACCTATGGGGAGGACTCTCAGGCCCCACTGAGTAGGTGGAGGATATTTAGGACCATGGGGTACTCTGAGACCCCAAAATTGCCTTTAGAGATGGCTGCCTAACCTTTTTTTTTTTTTTTTTTGAGACAGGTTCTCACTCTGTCATCCAGACTGGAGTACAGTGGCACAATCTCGGCTCACTGCAAACTCCGCCTCCTAGATTCAAGCAATTCTCCTGCCTCAGCCTCCAAAATAGCTGGGATTACAGGCATGCATCACCATGCCTGGCTAATTTTTATTTTTATTTTTTTGTATTTTTAGTAGAGGCAGGGTTTCACCATGGTGGCCAGGCTGACCTCAAACTCCTGACCTCAAGTGATCCACACACCCTGGCCTCCCAAAGTGCTGGGATTACAGGCGTGAGCCACCGCGCCAGGTCAGCTGCTTAACCTATTAAAAGGCACAATCACATCTCGTTAGGGATGAAGGGAAGAGGGGACCAGTTTGAGATACAAAAAACAGACCTCTCAGAAATATAAAAAGGAGCATTACTACAGATCTTATGGAAAAAGTATAAGGGATATACTAGGAACAACTATATACCAACAGATTAGCATAATTTAGATGAAATAGACCAATTCCTAGAAAGACATAAACTACTGAAATTGACTCGAGAAGAATAGAACATCTGAATAGACTTAGAACAAAAAAGCAGACCTCTGAGGCTGCAGTGAGCCACGATCGTGCCACTGCACTCCAGCCTAGGTGACAGAGTGAGACTCCGTCTCAAAAAAAAAAAAAATTATACCTATAGACAAGTCATCATTAAATCATGCATGCATTTAGTAACTCATTCAATCAACAGACATTTGCTGAGGCATTAAACACCATGCCAGGCATTAAATCTATGATTCTTAACCAATGGGACCTTCAGTCTCTCTGGGTTTGCTAATAACGGTGCAGATGCCCAAATCTAAGCCCTGGAGGTTCTGATTTGGTGAATCTGGAGGAAATCCAAAAATCTGTATTTTTAACCCATATCCTAGGAATTCTGAGGCACAGTTGCAAATCACTGGGCATGGATATTAAAAAGACACTGCCCAGTCCTTCAGCAGCAACTTGGGGAGGCAGACAGAGATCAGATCCAATTAGCTCCCACCATGCCTGCTCAAAGCCTGGTGGTCAAAGTCTGGGGGAAGCTAAGAGCTTTGTTTAGTGAAGGAATGACAGGCTTTCTTCCAAATCCATTCACTTTCTCTCTCTAGTAGCTCATGTGGGAGCTACAGTTTCACAAACCAGACTGGAATGTGTGGTTTGTCCCTGTCCATCATTCCTTCTCCACTCTTTTTGCTTTTCCAGGGGAACCACCTCTCCTCTAATCCACTTATTTTGAATAGGGCTGCCCTTCCCTGACTTGGGGTAGCAGTGGGTGGGTTTGGAGGAGAGGGGCCCCAGGGTAGCCATGTGACTCAGGCCCATGTATTTCATTCTTCTGACCACCCACCCTGATTGGTTCAGAAATGGGCACATGACCCAAGCTGGCCCAGTGGGAACTCTCCCCAGAATACGTCATTAAACTCTTAGGAAAAAGATGTTTCATTTCTACTAGCATTCGTTCACACTGGGGGCTACCCAAAAATGAAATCCACTCAGAGGAGAGGTGGACAGAGAATATGTCCTAAAGACATGTATGGAGCACCTGGATCCAGCTATGCCTGAAGGCCCCACTTCCTCCTCTGGATCTTTCAATTCTATGACTAACACATTCCCCTTTTTTTCTTAAGCCAGATTGCAATTTAAGGAACCCTGCTTAATGCAAAAGTCACTGTAGATTGAGGATGATCAGTGTCACCTTTCCCATTATCAAGTTATGCATATCTATGCCTACTCATTCTCAGAGACAACACCGACAACAAAAAGGCACTGGCTATGATAGAGGCATGAGCAGCTTGTCACAGAGGAGGAAGGTCTAACTAATGCTGCTTTGGTAATGGGTAATGCTTGAGCTGCTTCTTGAAAACCAACAGGAAGTTTGGAGGCAGAGAACTAAGAGTAGGCATCCCAGATAGGTTGGGGGATTCGGGTAAGGGTTTGAGGGGATAACCGCATTTGCTAAGGTGGACAGTAAATCCTAAAGGCTTCCTGGCCTGTGTGGCCATTAGTTCACCTGCTCCTGAGTCAACCAGGGAAATGGGTATGTTCTGCTAATGGCTGGGCAGACATCATTTTTGTTCTGAGCAAACGTGGGCAGAGCTGTTTGCAGAGCTGCAGAGAACACTTTACATACGAGATTCAAACGGGTTTCCAAAATGTGAATCTGTTTCTGCAGTTTCCGGGGGTTATTGGCCTCCTGCATTTTTGCGAAAATCTGTTTTTGGTTTGCGATTTTTTTTTCCATCTGAAGAATCTGAAAAAGAGAGAGAGAGAGAAATTCCAGCTGTGTTAGCATCTGTATGGGTACCCGTTCTACAGTTCACTAACTGAAGTGTGCTCAGATAGCATCTGTATGGGTACCAGCTCTACAGTTCACTAACTGAAGTGTGCTCAGACAAAAACTGCAATGTTCTTTCTTTTCCTATAAATGGAATTTTAACTTATCTGTTGGATGCCTCCTCAGTTAGACTTAATCTTAGCCAGTTCGGGGTACAATAAAGCAGTCTGGAGATTTGCTGTCACCTGTGCATGTAAATGTCACTCACCTGTGACATTTATACACAATGACATACATTCTGCCTACCCAAAGCCATGGTTTCCAGCAGAAATGACATCGTCCTCCCAGGGGACTTCTGTAAACTTGGAGAAGTGATTTTTTGGCTCTTGCAATGATGAAGCCACTAGTGGCATGTAATGGGTGGGTCACGAGAGGTCACATACCCTGCAACATGTGAGATAGCACCAGGCATCCAAGACTTCTCCTCCATCCTTGTGACTTCCCAGTGGCCCCCTGGATGTTACGTAGATGAGAGACCTCTTTATACTTTTATTTTCTTTTGAAACTTTCTTTTTGTTTTTTGAGACAGGGTCTCACTCTGTCGCCCAGGCTGGAGTGCTGTGGCGCGATCTTGGCTCACCACAACCTCCTCCTTCCAGGTTCAAGCGATTCTCCTACCTTAGCGTCTCGAGTAACTGGAACTAAAGGCATGCACCGCCATGCCTGTCTAATTTTTTTGTATTTTTAGTACAGATGGGGTTTCGCCATGTTGGCCAGCCTGGTTTCGAACTCCTGGCCTCAAGTGATCCACCCGCCTCAGCATCCCAAAGTGCTGGGATTACAGGCATGAGCCACCATGCCCAGCTCCTTTTCCACATCTGATCAAAAAAGATAGTTTGATTCTAGGTACAGAAAATTTGGCCAGCATTTTGGGAGGCCAAGGTGGGAGTATCACTTGAGACCAGGAATTTGAGACCAGCCTGGACAACAAAGTGAGACCCCTATCTCTACAGAAAAATCTAAAAATAGTCAGGCTTGGTGGCATGCACCTATAGTTTCAGCTACTTGAGAGGCTGAGGCAGGAGGATAACTTGAGCCTAGGAGGTCGAAGCTGCAGTGAGCCATGATTGCATCACTGCACTCCAGCCTGAACAGAGCAAGACCCTATCTTAAAAAAACAAACAAACAAAAACACAACTATCTTTTCTATGTACACACACAGAATTTTCCATTCAATTCTAATAGACACTGAATTATCCGGGACTGTAGTCACTGTATCAATCAAGAGAAGATTATTCTTCGATTTGTTTGGAACTTTACGAGAGTTGGTCACCATTCTGAAAATCACGTCACCAGCACAGCCTGAATCATGTTCTTCGAGTTGTGGATACAGTCAGCCTGCATCTGTCTGCAGTATGTGTAATGCTTGGCAATTCTGCCTATCAATACAGGCCTCTCACTGCAGTTTTTAGGCCAGGGGTCTGCAAACTCCAGCCCTTGGTCAAATCTGGCCCACTACCTGTTTTTGTCAATAAAGTTTTATTGAAATCCAGCCATGCCCATTCATTTATGTATTGTCTATGGCTGCCCTCAAGCTACAAAGGCAGAGCTAAGGACTTGCAACAGAGACCACGTGGTCCACAAGGCCAAAATATTCACTATCTGGTTCCCTGCAGACACAGTTTGCTGGCCCTGTTCTAGGTAAGTCAGATGAGGACATTCACGTATCAAAATAAATATCATTCTAGTACAAATAACTTTTATTTCTTCCTTATATTATAATTAAGGCATCATATTGATTTTAAAACATCAGTAAAGGGAAAATATTCTATCATTTATGGATTTCATTTCAGGATTGTAAAGGGATAATTATTTGCTGTTGAAAAAGGGTGTTGGCAGACATAATGTTGAATGAAGAAAGCCAGTTATAAAGTGCATATCCTGGAAGAGGTGATTTAGATGCAATTCTATATGCAGACAAAACAAAGTTATGATGCTGGAGATCAGGATGAGGTTCCTTGGGGGTGGTTTGTGGAAAGAGACCAAGGAAGCCTTCCAGACACTGCAATAATCTACCTCTTGATCTTGGTGATGATTACGAGTGTATACCTAAGTATCAGTTCATTGAGCTGTATCCTTAAGACGCGTGCACCTCATCATGTGTAATTAACAACTCAGTGGAAGGAGATCGCACCACTGCACTCCAGTCTTGCTCTGGTGACAGAGCAAGTCTCTGTCTCAAAAAAAAAAAAAGGAAGGAAGGAAGGGAGGGAGGGAGGAAGGAAGGAAAGATAGAGAGAAGGAAAGAAAGAAAGGAAGGAAGGAAGGAAGGAGTGTTATGGTTTTTGGGAGTGATAAGTTTAAGAACCACTGTCCTGGCTGGGCGCAGTGGCTCACGCCTGTAATCCCAGCACTTTGGGAGTCCGAGGCAGGTGGATCATGAGGTCAGGAGATCAAGACCATCCTAGCTAACACGGTGAAACCCTGTCTCTACTAAAAATACAAAAAAATAGCCAGGCGTGGTGGCGGGCGCCAGTAGTCCCAGCTACTTGGGAGGCTGAGGCAGGAGAATGGCATGAACCCGGGAGGCGGAGCTTGCAGTGAGCCAAGATTGCACCACTGCACTCCAGCCTGGGCAACAGAGCAAGACTCTGTCTCAAAAAAAATAAAAATAAAAATAACCACTGTCCTAAAGGGATCCACAAATGGGCTGTGTATTTAGGAGGTCCTTTCCTGCTTGGAAGTTTGGTATTCACAGATTCAAAGTCTCTGGATGGAAACTGAGGCAAAGCCACTGGGCTTAGAGAAGTCGAGGTCCTTAGTGACCCCAAAGAAAGCAGTTTCAGTGGAGGTGACTTCTTCCCATCACCAGGGACGGAGGTGGAAATAACATCTGCCCAAGAAAGGGAAGCAGGGAATGTAGACAAGTCCTTCTAGAAACTTCTAGAAAGGGGGAAGCTGGCAGTAATTTGGGATTGCAGGTGGGTTGTGTTTTGAGTTTCGTTTGTGCTCAGTTATTAGGTTATTTTGAAATAAAAGAGGCAAGGGAGGGATACCTTGACAAAATAGAAGGTGAAGATGAGAGCAACCAGGGCGGTCATTGATGGAGAGAGGTCTTTCTCTAATAATGGGGGATGTGACTGAAGGAAGGTAACACAGGATGGGGTCTGGCCTCATAGAAGGGCAATGGGACATCTCTCCCTCTGAGGCAATGCAGATGGAGCAGAGGATGGAGGGATGCATCCTCTTGGGGTGCAGGGAAAGGCATGGCTGCCACAATCTTTTAAAGCAGATGAAACAACACTGAGGCCACCTATGTCCAGAGACTTTTTGCTAAGTGAAACGTAAATAACCTAAATGCAAATTGGTGCCCTGGATTAGATCCTGGGACAGTAAAAGGACATGAATGGAAAACACTAGTGAAATCCTAATAAAGGACTGGGTGCTGTGCCTCATGCCTGTAATCCCAACACATTGGGAGGCCCAGGCTGGTGGATCACCAGAGGTCAGGAGTTTGAGACCAGCCTGGCCAACATGGTGAAACCCCGTCTCTACTAGAAATACAAAAATTAGCCAGGCATGGTGGTGGGCGCCTGTAATTCCGCTACTTGGGAGGTTGAGGAAAGAGAATTGCTTGATCCTGGGAGGTAGAGGTTGCAGTGAGCCGAGATCATGCCATTGCACTCCAGCCTGGGCGACAAGAGCAAAACTCCATCTCAAAAAAAGAAGCTCCAATAAAAACTGGAGTTCAGTTAATAGTAACATATCAACATTCATTGCTTAGTTTTGACAAATGTCCCACGGTAATGTACAATGTTTACATTGGGGGAACCGGGTGAAGGATATGTGAGAACTATATTATCTTTGTAACCATTCCGTAAATTTTAAAGTATGCCAAAATAAAAAGCTTATTAAAAATAATTGATAAATAAATGTCCTTTTGGTCAAAGCCTCTCTTGGTTGGGTATTATGTTACTTGCAGCCAAAAGCATTCCTGACACACCATCCACTTTACTCATTAGGATAATTGACTCTGACTTCAAATAAGTGAAATCTACACTGCCATGGCTGGCAGGAAAAAATGTTAGTGTCTCTCTATACCCTCGTAATGCCAGCCCAGTTCTCCAGACCCAAACACTCCCAGCCAGTGTCCCGGAAACTTCACTCCATAGTTTCTCATATGAGGCATTCCAACACACTGCTAGCAGTGTGCATAACCAGCCCACAATGCAGCCTTAGCCCACACCCAAATATCTTCATTATCAATATTTAACCCCATCTAGAAGCAGACGGCTAATGCTAAGTCCCAGAAGGCCTTAGAGAAGTTTCAGAACTAGTATCTGAAGAAGAGTGCCCTTCAAGACTAGTAAGTACCAGATCCTAAGCACAACAGAGGCACATTCTCTTCTTAGAGGCTGGGCTGAGACTAAGCTCTGAGATGTCTTTTTGGAACCCTGGTAGGTAAAGGCAACAGGGAATGAAGAGGACAATGACATTCAAAGCAACTTGGTTTGTTCCTGTTTGTGTCGAGATGGTGGCTTGATGAGGATAGTCTAAAGCTCAGTTCCTGTTCTGGAATTGAGAAGTTCTAGATGAGGAAGGCTTAAGTGCTCAGTGTTGTGAAATATAAAGTTTGTCAGCCTCCAGCTGGGAATCAGGGGCCCCGTGCAGAGCCTGGGCTGGTGAATTCTGCAAGCAGTTGCATCTGGGATTCCGTGTTAGCATCCCTGAGTTTTAATTCCCTTTGGTTATCCCCAAGTCTTCAGAAAGTCTACACAGCACAGTCTCAGCTATCTTCATGGGAAGCTGAGAGAAAAATCTACACTAGTGGGCTGCAAAAAGTGGGCAGGAGGGTGGCATACAAAAGTAAAGTGGTCCAGCAAATAGACATGACAGGATGGCAGAGATGATAGCAAACTAGAATGTGTGCACCCTATCTTAAGGGGCACCAGCTTGTTATCAGTTAAGAAAAAATGTAAGTTACAGAAAGCCCAACTAAAGAGTGGCTTAAGCTCTCCCTCTCCCTCTCCCTCTCCCTCTCCCTCTCCCTCCCCCTCCCCCTTCCCCTCCCCCTCTCCCTCTCCCTCCCTCTCCCTCTCCCTCTCCCCACGGTCTCCCTCTCATGCGGAGCCGAAGCTGGACTGTACTGCTGCCATCTCGGCTCACTGCAACCTCCCTGCATGATTCTCCTGCCTCAGTCTGCCGAATGCCTGCGATTGCAGGCACGCGCCGCCACACCTGACTGGTTTTGGTGGAGACGGGGTTTCGCTGTGTTGGCCGGGCCGGTCTCCAGCCCCTAACCGCGAGTGATCCGCCAACCTCGGCCTCCCGAGGTGCCGGGATTGCAGACGGAGTCTCGTTCACTCAGTGCTCAATGGTGCCCAGACTGGAGTGCAGTGGCGTGATCTCGGCTCGCTACAACCTACACCTCCCAGCCGCCTGCCTTGGCCTCCCAAAGTGCCGAGATTGCAGCCTCTGCCCAGCCGCCACCCCGTCTGGGAAGTGAGGAGCGTCTCTGCCTGGCTGCCCATCGTCTGGGATGTGAGGAGCCCCTCTGCCTGGCTGCCCAGTCTGGAAAGTGAGGAGCGTCTCCGCCCGGCCGCCATCCCATCTAGGAAGTGAGGAGCGCCTCTTCCCAGCCGCCATCACATCTAGGAAGTGAGGAGCGTCTCTGCCCGGCCGCCCATCGTCTGAAATGTGGGGAGCGCCTCTGCCCCGCCGCCCCATCTGGGATGTGAGGAGCACCTCTGCCCGGCCGAGACCCCGTCTGGGAGGTGAGGAGCGTCTCTGCCCGGCCGCCCCGTCTGAGAAGTGAGGAGACCCTCTGCCTGGCAACCGCCCCGTCTGAGAAGTGAGGAGCCCCTCCGCCCGGCAGCTGCCCCGTCTGAGAAGTGAGGAGCCTCTCCGCCTGGCAGCCACCCCATCTGGGAAGTGAGGAGCGTCTCCACCTGGCAGCCACCCCGTCCGGGAGGTGAGGGGCGCCTCTGCCCGGCCGCCCCTACTGGGAAGTGAGGAGCCCCTCAGCCCGGCCAGCCACCCCGTCCGGGAGGGAGATGGGGGGGTCAGCCCCCCGCCTGGCCAGCCGCCCTGTCCGGGAGGGAGGTGGGGGGGTCAGCCCTCCGCCCGGCCAGCCGCCCCGTCTGGGAGGTGAGGGGCGCCTCTGCCCGGCCGCCCCTACTGGGAAGTGAGGAGCCCCTCTGCCCGGCCAGCCGCCCCGTCTGGGAGGGAGGTGGGGGGGTCAGCCCCCCGCCCGGCCAGCCGCCCCGTCCGGGAGGGAGGTGGGGGGGTCAGCCCCCCGCCCGGCCAGCCGCCCCATCCCGGAGGTGAGGGGCGCCTCTGCCCGGCCGCCCCTACTGGGAAGTGAGGAGCCCCTCAGCCCGGCCAGCCACCCCGTCCGGGAGGGAGATGGGGGGGTCAGCCCCCCGCCCGGCCAGCCGCCCTGTCCGGGAGGGAGGTGGGGGGGTCAGCCCTCCACCCGGCCAGCCGCCCCGTCTGGGAGGTGAGGGGCGCCTCTGCCCGGCCGCCCCTACTGGGAAGTGAGGAGCCCCTCTGCCCGGCCAGCCGCCCCGTCCGGGAGGGAGGTGGGGGGGTCGGCCCCCCGCCCGGCCAGCCGCCCCGTCCGGGAGGGAGGTGGGGGTGTCAGCCCCCCGCCCGGCCAGCCGCCCCCTCCGGGAGGGAGGTGGGGGGGGTCAGCCCCCCTGCCCGGCCAGCCGCCCCGTCTGGGAGGTGAGGGGTGCCTCTGCCCGGCCGCCCCTACTGGGAGGTGAGGAGCCCCTCTGCCCGGCCAGCCGCCCCGTCCGGGAGGGAGGTGGGGGGGTCAGCCCCCCGCCCGGCCAGCCGCCCCGTCCGGGAGGGAGGTGGGGGGGTCAGCCCCCCGCCCGGCCAGCCGCCCCGTCCCGGAGGTGAGGGGCGCCTCTGCCCGGCCGCCCCTACTGGGAAGTGAGGAGCCCCTCTGCCCGGCCACCACCCCGTCTGGGAGGTGTGCCCAACAGCTCATTGAGAACGGGCCAGGATGACAATGGCGGCTTTGTGGAATAGAAAGGCGGGAAAGGTGGGGAAAAGATTGAGAAATCGGATGGTTGCCGTGTCTGTGTAGAAAGAAGTAGACATGGGAGACTTTTCATTTTGTTCTGCACTAAGAAAAATTCCTCTGCCTTGGGATACTGTTGATCTGTGACCTTACCCCCAACCCTGTGCTCCCTGAAACATGTGCTGTGTCCACTCAGGGTTAAATGGATTAAGGGCGGTGCAAGATGTGCTTTGTTAAACAGATGCTTGAAGGCAGCATGCTCGTTAAGAGTCATCACCAATCCCTAATCTCAAGTAATCAGGGACACAAACACTGCGGAAGGCCGCAGGGTCCTCTGCCTAGGAAAACCAGAGACCTTTGTTCACTTGTTTATCTGCTGACCTTCCCTCCACTATGGTCCCATGACCCTGCCAAATCCCCCTCTGTGAGAAACACCCAAGAATTATCAATAAAAAAATAAATTAAAAAAAAAAAAAAAGAGTGGCTTAAGCAAATTACGGTTTATCTTTTTCTCATAAAAAGTTGCTGCTGCCTGTAACCCCAGCACTTTGGGAGGCCGAGGCAGGTGGATCACCTGAGGTCAGACGTTCAAGACAAGCCTGGCCAACACAGTAAAACCCCATCTCTACTAAAAATACAAAAATTAGCTGAGCATGGTGGTGCACATCTGTAATCCCAGCTACTTGGCAGGCTGAGGCATGAGAATTGCTTGAACCTGGGAGGCAGAGGTTGCAATAAGCTGAGGATGCACCACTACACTCCAGCCTGGGTGACAGAGGGAGACTCTGTCTCACATATACAAAAAAAGAAAAAAGTTGCTGAGCTAAGTTCCATAGCTCAAAGAAGTAAGGACAAGATCTCTGTAATTCACCTGACAGTTCCCTTATTGTTAAAAGATGACTGCCATTGCACCGACCTTCACGGTCTTATTCCAGGGAGGAAAGTAGAAGATGCAATACGTTTGAAGAGGTAGGTCATCTATCTGGAAAGCAAGACTTTCCCAGAAACCCCAACAGACTTCCTCTTAAAACTCACTGTCCACCCTTAGCTGCAAGGGAAGATGGGAGGAGCATTTTAGCTGGGCACAAGACCAGCTTGAACAAAGTCAGAAATCTGTTAGAGAAGAAAAAGTAGAGAATAGGGGAACAGTTGTGTCACCCGCAACACTATTTAGTTAACGGTTGTTCTATGAAAATTCATGCCTGATATCCCAGATCTTTCGGTTTCTAAAGCCAGAACTCTTATTTCTTTATGAAATCTCACAATTTTTTTTCTTTTTTCTTTGTCTCTTCTTTTTCTTTTTTCTTTTTTTTTTTTTTTTTTGGTATATGCTGAACATCTATCAATTATTAATATGTTGTCAACTAATGAAATCTTAAACAATAAATGGGCCACAGCCTTCCTGTCACCAGGCTTAATCCATCCTGAGATCTACCAGTTTGAGATCCTTGGTCTACATCCACATTTAGAGTCATGGAGCCACAGCGCTCTGATGAAAGATGGATTTTAGGCAGCAAGAAGTGCCCAGTGGAAGACAGAAGAGTGACCCAGAGCCAGAGAGCTGGCAGAGGTGGCACCCAGGACTGTGGTAGACACAGTGGCTGGTGGCTCCCCACATCCATTCCTCCCATATCCAAGGCCACCGTGAGAAACCCCCTCTGCCTGTGATGTATTGATTCCAGAGTAAGCAGGACTAAACCAGCTGGGGCCTCTCTATTGGGAAGGGATGTCTGCTAAGGAAACTTCTAGAAAAAGTCTTCTCATTCCTAAAAGAGTTATTGGAGGACAGGGTACATCTCCTGAAGGTAGTGTCAGTCTGGGTGTGGTGCCTGGAATTGCTGCTCCCATCTTGCCCCAGCCAAAGGATAACACCCAACATAGCTGACAGCAAAATTGAGCTGCTAAACCAACCAGCCCTGAAGTTTGCCTTACCTTTGCACTTCCTGTCATATGAGACAAAACATTTCCTTATTACCAGTCATCTATCAGGGAAGGTGGTCTCCACCCCAGCTCCAGGGGATAGAGCATCACTGGTCTAAGCCGAGTGGAAAACATTTTATTTTCTCTTTTTTTTTTTTTTGAGATGGAGTCTCACTCTGTTGCCCAGGCTGGAGTACAGTGGCGTGATCTTGGCTCACTGCAACCCCTGCCCTCCCAGGTTCAAGTGATTCTCCTGCCTCAGCCTCCCAAGTAGCTGGGATCACAGGCATGCACCACCATATGCAGAGATGGGGTTTTTACCATGTTGGCCAGGCTGGTCTGTTCGGAACTCCTGACCTCAGGTGATCCTCCCACCGCAGCCTCCCAAAGTGCTGGGATTACAGGCATGAGTCACGGCGCCCAGTCTCTTTTTTTTTTTTTTTTAAGACAGGGTCTCGCTATGTTGCCCAGGCTGGTCTCAAACTCCTGGGCTCAAAGATCTTCCTGCTTCAGCCTCCCCAGTAACTTGACCACAGGCAACTGTGTAGGACTCAGAAAACTTTTCTTAAAGGGCCAGATGGTAAATATTTTAAGCTCCACGGACTAAGAGGTTATAACCAGGTACTCATACAATCATTTAAAAGTCAAAGCCATTCTTTGCTGGAAGACTATAAACAGATAGGCTGGATTTGGCCCTTGGCCTGTAATTTGCTACCCCTGGTCTACTCAAAGCCAGTTCTGGAAATTCTACTTCCCTTTGTCAGTGATTGACATTGAAATGGGCATATATGCCAGCCATGGCTGATGAGGGGAAATCTGCCAGAGGGATTTTGTGAAATACTCTCTCCCATCTCATCTTCATGTCTTTGAATGTGGTTCTGTGAGGATGAATGTGGCTATGGCAGAAGCTGATGCCAGCTGATGACTGCTTTGGCAGTCACCTTGTGACCATGAGGAGCAGACCAGTAAAGAAGGTCAGAGAGAAAAAGACAAACCATCATTGCAGAGATGCTAAACCATCCCTGGAGGTTGGACATGGTGGCTCACGCCTGTAATCCCTGCACTTTAGGAGGCTGAGGTGGGCAGATCACTTGAGGTCAGGAGTTCAATACTAGCCTGGCTAACATGGTGAAACCCCATCTCTACTAAAAATACAAAAATTAGCCAGGCATGGTGGCACATGTCTGTAATCCCAACTACTAGGGAGGCTGAGGCAGGAGAACTGCTTGAACCCGAGAGGCAAAGGTTGCAGTGAGCCGAGATTGTGCCACTGCACTCCAGCCTGGGCAACGGAGCAAGATTCTGTCTCAAAAAAAAAAAAAAAAATCCCTGGGACAGCCTATTTCCAGTCAGATATTTTGTTATGTGATAACAACATAATAACAACAAACCTCTACCCTCTCAATTAATACCTCTTGAGAATTCTGTTACTTGCAGTCCAACCTTTCCTCACTGGTACATCATGCGAGTGGCAGCTCGGATGATCAGGTGTCAAGGGAACTGTTGGGTTTCACATAAACTGATGAGGCATATGAATGCTATTACAATGGATACTAGCTGTGGTTTGGACTTCAGCTGGAACACACACACACACACACACACACGTGTGTGTCACTCAAAGCGAGACTAAAGGGCTTCACCTGCCCCGACACACACAGTGGAGTCAGGCCCCCGCTCTACTTTGGTGTCCCTTCTGTTCCGTGCACAGGCAGCGCCCCCAGTGCAAACCCTCACTAACTCACCAATGAAATAAAACAAATAGCTGGGCCTCAGTGCAAACCCTCACTAACTCACCAATGAAATAAAACAAACAGCTGGACGCCGTGGTTCATGCCTGTAATCCCAACACTTTGGGAGGCCAAGGTGGGTGGATCACCTGAGGTCAGGGGTTCGAGACCAGCCTGGCCAACATGGTGAAACTCCATATCTACTAAAAATACAAAAATTAACCAGGCATGGTGGCGGGTGCCTGTAATCTTAGCTACTCAGGAGGCTGAGGCAGGAGGATTGCTTGAATCTGAGAGGTGGAGGTTGCAGTGAGCTGAGATCACACCACTGCACTCCAGTCTGGGTGACAGAGTGAGATGGTCTCAAAAAAAGAAAAAAAAAAAGAAAAGAAAAAGAAAAGAAAGAAAACAACCAATTTGTTTTCCTATCCACAAGGGCGGCATCTCCAGACTGCGCCATCACCTGAAGGCAGGCCCGCCCCCACTAGAGTTGGGCCTGCAGTCCTCCAGCTCCGGCTCCCTGTTAAGGGAAGCTGTGGCATCAGCATTTCCTGGTGGCTCTCATGAGTACATTCAGAGTTGGATTTCCTTTGGAGTCTTTACGTCAGATGCTGCTTTTGTGATGCTGGGAGTCATTCAGCCTCTGCACAATGGGAGACATTCTCCAAGGCAACGGCTGGTGGAGAATTGTATTCCCTAAGCAAGATGCTGTCTTCCCATCGGCTTATTAACTATTTTGCGAGGAAGGCCAGGTAGGGCCTGGGGAGGTCCCCACCTCCAGTGACCTCCTGTGAGGACGAGGCTTTGCCCATCGAGGGTGGGCATGGGAGGAAGGGATTCTGGTAACTGCCACCCTGGAATGAAATTGGGCAAAGATGGTTTGCACTGGGCAGTGAGCCCCAGAAACTTCTGAGGACCCCACGCTGTGTTGCCTCTTCCTAATGCTTCTAAAGACCCATGGCCCCAGCTCCTCTTCAATTTTTCTCTTTATTCCCTTTATTGCCTCCTTTGTCACCTTTCAGTCATTTATTCATTCACCAGTGTTTATTAAACACCTGCTCTGGTGCCAGACAGCAGGGGTGGGTGATGATAATAATCAAGACAGAGGGTCTCTGCCCTCTGAGAACTTACAATCTAGGACTGGAAACAAGCCACGAAGGGGGCGTCAAGCCCTAGGGGACAGGAGACACAAGGTATTTCGGGCACGCACAGTAGGGACATCTAGTGGGGAAAGATGAAGGGATGATGTCCCAGCAGAAGTAGCATTTGAGGCCGGGCACAGTGGCTCACACCTGTAATCCCAGCACTTCAGAGGCGGAAGAGGGCAGATCACTTGAGGTCAGGAGCTCGAGACCAGCCTGGCCAACACAGTGAAATCCCATCTCTACTAAAAGTACAAAAAAAAAAAAAAAAATTAGCCAGGCACCTATAGTCCCAACTACCCTGGAGGCTGAGGCAGGAGAATCGCTTGAACCCAGGAGGTGGAGGTTGCAGTGAGCCGAGATCGCACCACTGCACTCCAGCCTGGGTGACAGAGTGGGACTCCGTTTCAAAAAAAAAAGAGCATTTGAGCTGAGACCTAAGTGATAAATAGGAGGTCTCCAAGCAAAGAGGACAGGGAAAGGCACTCCAGGCAGAGGGAATAGCACACGCAAAGTCCTGGAAGTGAGGGACAGTACTGTGGGCTTAAAGGACACGAAGAAGGCCTCAGTGGGTGGAACACAGAGCAGGTGGGGGCAGGGGAGGAGGTGAGAGAGGCAGGCAGAGCTGATGCAGCCCCACTGGGGAGTTGGGCCTTTATGGAAAGAACAACAGGAACTTTCTGAAGGGTTTGAAGCAGACAAAAGATGTGAAGAGATTTCCAGATTCATTCAGTAGTGATCTGGTTTGGCTCTGTGTCCCTCCCTAATCTCATGTTGAATGGTAATCCTCAGTGTTGGAGGAGGGACCTGGGGGAGACAATGGGATGGTGGGGGGTGGTTTTTCATGAATGGTTTGGCACCATCCCCCTTGGTATTGTCTTGGCGATAGTGAAATCTCATGAGATCTGGTTGTTTAAAAGTGTGTGGCGCCTCCCCCGTCTCTCTCTTCTTCCTGCTCTGGCCATGTGACGTGCCTGCTCCCCCTTTGCCTTCCACCATGATTTATAAGTTTCCTGAGGCCTCCCCAGAAGCAGAAGCTGCTATGCTTCCTGTATAGCCTGCAGAACTGTAAGCCAATTAAACCTCTTTTCTTTAAAAACTTCCTGTCTTGGCTGCATGCCGCGGCTCACGCCTGTCATCCCAGCACTTTGGGAGGCCGAGGTGGGTGGATCACCTGAGGTCAGGAGTTCGAGACCAGCCTGGGCAACATGGTGAAACCCCGTCTGTACTAAAATTACAAAATTAGGTGGGCGTGGGGGTGCCTGCCTGTAATCCCAGCTACACGGGAGACTGAAGCAGGAGAATTGGTTGAGCCTGGGAGGCAGAGGCTGCAGTGAACCAAGATCATGCCGCTACACTCCAGCCTGGGCGACAGGAGTGAAACTCTGTCTCAAAAATAAATAAATAAATATTTAAAAATAAATAAACTACCTGTTTCAGCCGTTTCTTTATAGCAATTAATTAATACTATAATAGAAATAGTAAATGTTTACTGAGGATCTACTGTGTGCGGGACACTGGGACAGGCACGGGGTTGCGGGCAGGGGTGGCACTGTAGAGAACAAAATGGATGTGGTCCTTGCCCTTGTGAAGCTGTCAGGCTGCTTAGGGAGCCGTTAAACACCAGAATAAGGCATAATGACAATGGTGGGAAGAGCTATGAAGGGGGTACTGTGGGGAGCCATGGGATCCCCCACTTGCCCCCCAGACCCACTGCTCTGTGCCCCAACAGGCTGACCTGGCTGCATCGCTGAGGGGCTCCCTTGCACTGAGGATCAGAGGGTTGGAAGAAAGGGGAGCCATTGCCCCTGGCTTGCCCCAGGCTCTCCAAGTTCCAGACCACTGCCCCCTCCCCCGCTGTTGCGAACCCTAGTGTTTCAATGTCCCTACTCATGCTCATGCCCACACCCTTGTAAATGGTTCCTGCATTAAACTCTTCTCAAAGTACCCTGCTGGGGGTGCTCTGGGTTCCAGCCAGAACCTGACTGACACAGGGAGGTATAACCTGGAGAGGGGGCACAGAAAAGGCCTCCCTGAGAAAGTCACATTTAAGTTGAGACCTGAAGGACAAGCGGGAGTGGGGGAAGGGGTGGGAGTGGGGGAGCATAAGCAAAGGCCCTGAGGTGGGCCAAGGGGTAGGCAGGGGCTAGATCACGCAGGGCCTTTCAAGCCAGGGTAAGGGGCATGACCATTAATGTTGTCCTGCAAATACTTCCAGCTCTTTGCCTTCCAGATAATGAGAGGGTGGCCCTTCCCGGACCCCTTTGTGGATGGGTAGGATCACGTACATGACTATTTTCTCTTGCTTTTTCTTTTCTTTTTTTTTTTGTTACCATAATCAGAAAACACGACTATTTTGAGCCCCTGGGTCATGAGCAGAAGTGACGTGTTTCAGCCAGGCACGGTGGCTCACGCCCGTAATCTCAGCATTTTGGGAGGCCGAGGCGGGAAGATCATTTGACATCAGGAGTTTGAGACCAGCCTGGCCAACATGGTGAAACCCTGTCTCTACTAAAAATACAAAAATTAGCCAGCATGGTGGTGCACGCCTGTAATCCCAGCTACTCAGGTGGCTGAGGCATGAGAATCACTTGAACCCAGGAAGCAGAGGTTGCAGTGAGCCAAGATTGCACCACTGCATTCCAGCCTGGGCAAGAGAGCAAGACTCTTTCAAAAAAAAAAAAGAAGTGACATGTTTCACTTCCAGACTGGAATATTCAATGGCCAGCATGAAACCCTCTAGAACTCTTTCTTTCCCATAATACCTGGCAATGTTCAAGATGGTGGCTATTCCTTCAGCCTAGTCCCAGTGTGAGAAGATATAAGGGCTCTTAGCCAACCCACAACAGTTACGTGTCATCAACAAGGAAGAAACCTTAAAGTTTTAAACCACTAAGAATGCGTGAGGGGGTGGCATTTATTCCTGCAGCATAACCAAGCCTCTCCTAACTGATAGGGTGCAGCTGTGGGGGTTTATTCACGGTGCAGCAGGTGGCACTGGGGAGCACGGCGGAGGGATGGATTGGTATGGCTGAGCCTGGATACTGGAGCCCAGAGGTCTCAAGGGTAGCGAGACGATAGCAGCAGTCACATTTAGCGGGCTGTCCAGAGGAGATACTGTGATACAGGGGTGTCAGGTCTGGCCTAAGGCATCACGAATATGCACCCCAACTCCTCCCCTTTGCTCTGTGTTCTGGTTAACCCTTTAAGAGAAAGACCACACCTTCTCATCCAGTTCAGCCAACAGCACTTTCAGGGATTTAATCAATGCCTCATAGTCCTCCTTAGTTTGGAGCAGGAGTCGCAGCTCCATGTAGTTCTTCTCACTCCGATTCATGTTCCTCGAGGATTTCATGAGACTCAACAGTAGGGTGATCTCATCCTGCTCTGTCTTCAGGGTCTTGATCTCCTTGCTGTTGGAAAAGCAGCCCATGATTAACCCCAAACCCCTAAGTTTAACTTGACGGAGCACTCCAGGCACATCAGCCCTGCAAGGAGACCGGGAGAGAGGAATTTCCCACCTGAGCAAGCAGGCAAAAGGGACGTGTCCATGGTCTCAGATCCAGGTCTGGAAGCCTGATCACCTGAGACCTGGTTCACCATGATTTCCTGCTGCCCTGCCTTCTCTGAGGTGGGTATTTTCTCTAGGTAACAATTTGCAGCTGTGCCTGTCAAAACCCATTACTCAGACATGGAGGAAACCCCCACGTTCTCCTTTGCCAGCAACTCCCTGGCACCTGTCTGATTCTGCAGACCATCTTTCCAGACTTTACCGCCAATTATCTCCAGTAATGAGGAGCAAACCATCAGGCAGGATTTTATTTTATTTATTTTATTTTTTATTTTATTTTATTTTATTTTATTTTATTTTATTTTATTTTATTTTATATTTTGAGACAGAGTCTCACTCTGTTGCCCAGGCTGGAGTGCAGTGGCATGATCTCGGCTCACTGCAACCTCCACTTTCCAGGTTCAAGCGATTCTCCTGCTTCAGCCTCCTGAGTAGCTGGGACTACAGCCACAAGCCACCATGCCCAGTTACTTTTTGTATTTTTAGTAGAGACGGGTTTCGCCATGTTGGCCAGGCTGGTCTCGAACTACTGGCCTCATGTGATCCACCTGCCTCGGCCTCCCAAAGTGCTGAGATTACAGACATGAGCCACCGTGCCTGGCCAGGCAGGATTTTTCAAGTTTGCATCAACACAGGGATGCATAATAGCCTCTAAGCTCCACCAGTTTCTCTCCTTGTGGTGCTAATGAGGAAATGTCTACCGGGATGTGGGAAAACAGGGGGATTTGGAAAAGAGCAAAGGGAGCTTGAAAGACTGCACAATGGAACAAGGGGAGATGGCACAGAGGCTGAGTTTCTGGCAGTCTGGAGACTGACACCCACTCCCCAATGTGGTTTGCGGATCAGTAGCATGAATGTCCTTTGGAAACTTGGAGAAATGCAGAATCTCAGGTGCCCAACCTGAGACCAATTGGATCAGAATCTGCTTTATTACAGGATCGAGTGTCCAGATGCTTCAAAAGTTTTGGACACACTGCTATAGAACAGTAAAGAATGTTCTACAGGCCCGGCGCAGTGGCTTATGCCTGTAATCCCAGCACTTTAGGAGGCCGAGGCCAGTGGATCATGAGGTCAGGAGTTCGAGACCAGCCTGGCTAAGATGGTGAAACCCCATCTCTAGTAAAAATACAAAAAATTAGCCGGGGGGGGTGGTGGGCGCCTGTAATCCTAGCTACTCTGGAGGCTGAGGCAGAGAATTGCTTGAACCCGGGAGGCGGAGGTTGCAGTGAGTTGCGATCGCGCCACTGCACTCCAGCCTGGGAGACAGAGCAAGACTCCATCTCAACAATACAAAAACAAACAAACAAAAAAGAATGTTCTACAGGCCTGGCGCAGTGGCTCACTCCTGTAACATCAGCACTTTGGGAGGCCGAGGCAGAAGGATTGCTTGAACTCAGGAGTTTGCGACCAGCCTGGACAACATAGTGAGGCCCTGTCTCTACAGAAAATATTAAAAGTAGCTGAGGTGGGAGGATTGCTTGAGCCCAGGTGGCAGAGGTTGCAGTGAGCTGAGATCGTGCCACTGCATTCCAGCCTGGGAGACACACAGTGAGACCCTGTCTCAAAAAAAAAAAAAAAAAAAAGAAAGGAAAGGAAAATGTCCTAGGACAGGAGTTGGCAAACCGGCCAAAAAGTGAACCAACAGGCATGGCTGTGTGCCAATAGAGATTTAATTACAAAAAACCAGCAGCCAGCCAGATTTGGCTGTAGTTTGTAGATCCCATTCTAATAGGACGTTCTGCAGTGATGAAAATGTTCTCTGAGGGGCCCATAGTATCCACTTAGGCACAAGTGATTGTTGAGCACTTGAAATGCGGCTATTTCAGCAGAACTAAATATTATTTTATTTTATTTATTTTAATTAATTACAAATGTAAATAGCCACATTTGGCCAGTGACCTCCTGTCTTCTCAACCAGCCTGGGGACTCTTCTGCCCTGCTTAAGCCCCTCCTGGAAGGAGGCGGGCGGGGGAAGCTGGGGCGAGTGTCTTTGTTAAGGTGGAGAGAAAAAAGAGAGTACAATACTCTACAAGAGTTAGGTTTTCAGGGTGCCGTGGCTCATGCCTGTAATCCCAGCACTTTGGGAGGCCGAGGTAGGCAGATCACCTGAGGTCAGCAGTTCAAGACCAGCCTGGCCAACATGTCGAAACCCTTTCTCTACTAAAAATACAAAAATTAGCCAGGCATGGTGGTGGGCGCCTGTAGTCCTAGCTACTCAGGAGGCTGAGGCAGGAGAATCGCTTGAACCTGGAAGGCAGAGGTTGCAGTGAGCCAAATTTGCACCACTGCACTACAGCTCGAGCAACAAAGCAAGACTCCATCTCAAAAAAAAAAAAAAAAGAAAAAAAAAAGAGGTTTTCAGAGAGGGTTGGTAAAAGCAAAAGGAAGGTGTGTCTGTCTTGCAGGCAAGGCCAGGACTGGTGTAAAGGGAGTGAAGTACCCCAAAACCTTAAGTTACTCCCTGAATGTTGTAAGCCAGGGTTGGTGCTGGGGAAAAGTGCTTCCTTAAATACTGTATAGGTGTTTCACTCTAAAGAACCTAAACTTGGCCTGGTGCGGTGGCTCATGCCTGTAATCCCAGCACTTTGGGAGGCCGAGGCGGGTGGATCACCTGAGGTCAGGAGTTTGAGACTAGCCTGACCAACATGGTGAAACCCCATCTCTACTAAAAATACAAAATCAGCTGGGTATGGTGGCACATGCCTATAATCCCAGCTACTCGGGAGACTGAGGCAGGAGAATTGCATGAACCCAGGAGGCACAGGTTGCAGTGAGCCAAGATCGCACCATTGCACTCCAGCCTGGGCAACAAGAGCGAAACTCCATCTCAAAAAATAAATAAATAAAATAATAAGAACCTAAACTCTCCACTCTTCCACCCTCCTCCTCTTCAGTTCCATCAAAGTGAAACCAGATCAAATGGATTGACTTAGTAGAGCCAGAAGCCTGTGTGTGGGGTGCTGTTGGGGTGAAGAAGGGTTAAATTCAAGAAAAATTGTCAGAGACATATCAAAAGGAGGCATTTCCTGATGCCCACCAGAGGTAGGCTTGCGAATCAGGTCAGCCAGCCACAGATGTGCAGGTTGTGGCCTGCACAACCCTAGGAAGCACCACCAGCTTGAAAACACACCACTGTTTTGTAGATTTATTACACTTTTCTGGGAGACACTTTCTTGTTCTAACAAAATCTCTACATAATGACAATTTTTCCAACAGATGACAGTAAAGCGTCTTGAGAAAGTGTACCTTTTAAAAAAATTCACATGGAGGTCCCTTATGGGCTAGCCCTGGCCCTGAGTAAGTTGAATCCATGGAAAATCTAAAGAATCCCTTTTCAGGCCGGGCATGGTGGCTCACGCCTGTAATCCTAGAACTTTGGGAGGCCTAGGCGGGCGGATTGCTTGAGCTCAGGAGTTTGAAACCAGCCTGGGCAACTTGGTGAAACCCCATCGATACAAAAAATTAGCCAGGCGTGCTGGCACACGCCTGTGATCCCAGCTACTCAGAAGGCTGAGGTCGGAGAATCGCTTGAGTCTGAGAGGCAGAGGTTGCAGTGAGCCGAGATGGCACCACTGCACTCCAGCCTGGGTTACAGAGCCAGACCCTGTCTCAAAAATAAAAATAAAAATAAAAATTCCTTTTCCCCATCCTGTGAACTTCTCATCTAACAGTAAGATTTCCTTTCTAACAATGGACAGTTTCTGCCTTTATAAACAATATGGATGCAGCTAAGGAATTACATTCCCTTGGAGGGAATCTAAGAAAGTCTGCTTAATGTTTGTGTATTCAACCCCAGGGAACACCTTTCTGTTGCCTGAAGAAATGATACACACAGCTGGGCATGGTGGCTCACACCTGTAATCCCAGCACTTTAGGAGGCCGAGGTGGGTGGATCATCTGAGGACAGGAGTTTGAGACCAGCCTGGCCAACGTGGTGAAATCTTGCCTCTACTAAAAATACAAAAATTAGCCAGGCATGGTGGTGGGCGCCTGTAATCCCAGCTACTCAGGAAGCTGAGGCAGGAGAATCACCTGAACCCGGGAGGCGGAGGTTGCAGTGAGCTGGGATCACGCCATTGCCAACTCCAGGTTGGGCGACAACAGTGAAACTCCATCTCCAAAAAAAAAAAAAAAGAGAAAAGAAATGATACACTCCAAAAAAAAAAAAAAAAGAAAAGAAATGATTGTAATTTCTGATGCAATCCAATTTCAAATATTCTATCTTGCAGTTCTCATAAGACACACAATTAGGAAACGTTGTTAGGGTTTCCGCCTTCTCTGGGAACTCCTCCACTTCCCTGGTAGGACCAAGGGAGTGACAGCCCCAGACATTTTTGTGTCCCTTGCCCTCTCAAGCCACAGCTGATTGGACCAGGAGGAGACTGCTAACCCAAGCTGAGCCTATCAGAGTCTCCGTCTCCCAGGAATGTGAGGTTGGAATTGATTCAAGACCCTCTCTCTGTGCAGCTGGTAAACTTGAGAGCTGGAGCAGCCACTTCCCACCAGCTGAGGCTGAAATTCAGAGAGAGAGAGAACAGAAGTCATGTGCGGAGAAAAACAGAAACCAGAACTCTTTCCTCAATTAGGTCCTTCCCTGAGATCTGGGTGCCCTGCCCACCAGGGGTCCCCAAAACACCCTGCATTCTGACAAGAAATTCCCCCTCTTCACTGAAGCCATCTCAAGTGAGTTTCTCTTGAAACTAGGCTCTGCAGATAAAAGACCGTGGATCCTCCAATGGGGCTCAGAGGTGGCTCCCTGCCCCAGGGGTCACAGAACAGAAGACAAGCAACATGAAGCCCAACCCCAACTTTCCTCCAAGGTCACTCAGTGCGAAACTCCAACCATCACTTACTACTGACTCGCAATCTTCTGCTGGTTTCGGAACTTAAAAGACTTCCGGCTTTCCACCATCTTCCTGAACTGCTGCCTTAGCTTCCGGAGCTCTGCCTCCGCCTGCTGCTCTTTGGCCTTCTCCGAAGGTTCCTGGGGAGTGTCGGAGTCTTTTCTCCTGTTCTTCTTCAACTGGGGGAGATGGAGAGGAGTGGGAGGCCGTAGTGGGCCAGGTGGCTAGAGAAGCCCACAGATGGGCTTAAGAGTGAAGGGCAGTGGGGGTGGCTGGGCCATGGCTAGAAGTGGAAGACCTTCCCTTGGGTGATGTCAGCTGCTTGTCTATTACATGGAAAACCCACCCTGGCTTGCTAGGGTGGAGAGATGACTGACTTGTAATTGCATACTGTGGTGAGGGGAGGGTATTCTTTGGGGTTCTGGGTTCAAACTCTGACTGTGCCATCTAGTGGGAACTTGGGTGAGTCACTGGATGTCTCTGAGCCTCCAGCCTCCCACCTACAAAATGGGTGAGCACAGATCTGTTTGTCAGGATGAGACGAGCTAACGTGTAAAGTGGATGGCACAGTGCCTGACCCCATAGTAGGTGCTCTGTGGCTGGGAGCTGGCATCACCTACCACAGACATCTTGAAGGAACCGCACTTTGCCTCCACTCAGACACTGTACCCAGAGAGCTCAAAGCCAGTGAGCCTTCCTCTCTCTCTCTGTCTCTCTGCAATGCCCTGTTCATGGTGGCAAAAGGAAGAGAACTTGTAAGCCACCCCTGCTGGGGGTGCAGGTCAGAACGGCACCTCCTCCCTCCCCCTGCCATCCCTTCCTCCACCCACACCTTGGCACATGAGGAGGATACCCAGATGGCTGCCCGGGTGTGACAAAAGGCACTTATTTGTTTTAAAGCAATGTTTGCCTGGAACCTGGTTCTCTCACCATTTATTATTAGGAGCTGGGCAGATGGTTCTGGCGTGTCAGTTACCCTCCTGCTCCCTGTGTACCCAAAGAGGGGGCAAAATGGCATCAGGGGGCCGGGCATGGTGGCTTATGCCTGTAACCCAGCACTTTGGGAGGCCAAGGTCGGTAGATCACTTGAGGTCAGGAGTTCGATACCAGCCTGGTCAACATGGTGAAACTCTGTCTCTACAAAAAATACAAAAAAATTAGCCAGGTGTGGTGGCACACACCTGTAATCCCAGTTACTCAGGAGGCTGAGGCAGGAGAATTGCTTGAACCCTGGAGGCAAAGATTGCAGTGAGTGAGCCGAGATCGCGCCACTGCACTCCAGCCTGGGTGACAGAGTGAGACTCCATCTCACAAAAAAAAAGGCATCGGGGCAGTGTGTCCCCTGATGGGGTTAAATAGAAATGTGCCCAACTTCAATTGCAGCTGTCAGGGAATCCCCACCCTCCCATCTTAGAGCAGGAGTCAGTATTCTTATCATGTCACCACTTGAACTTCATCTAGCCCATAGTTATTCAGAGCAAGGGACAGCATTAATCCCACACATCACATCCTTTGAGGTTGTGAGACCCACTGCACAGCCAATTCCAGACTGCAGGAGCTGGGTTCCAAAAGCAGAAATTCCAGCTTTGCCACCATTGAGGGTCCTGCAATGCAATGGTTTAAAGCATTGGTTGTGCCAATCATCAGATCTCATTTCAAATTCCTCCAAAGCCACTTATTAACCTCGGGCAAGCCACTTCAGTTCTGTAGTCCTCATTTTCCTCACCTGGAAAATGGGAGAAATTCTAGAAGCCATGTCATTGAGTGTGTAAGACACTCAGCACTGTGCTTGGGACGTAGTAAGTGCTCAGTACACAGTGGCTAGGATGATATGGCAGGATATGGATTGTTTCAGAGGGCGAAGGTGCAGGGTGGTGAATGTTGATGAGGGTGAGAGGGGTGTTCCTCTATCTCCTGGTAACAATACCCTGAAGTTCCCATGGGAAGCCACACCTTCCTGCACTCCTGGGGGCTGACCATACCCCACCACCTTCAAGATTGGGGCATCCGACTCTGGATGGGAGAATCAGAGCACCAGATCCCAGTCAATCTGCATGATCTCAGCCCTCTAGCCTGGGATTTCTTCGGGGGTGGATGGGCACATGAAGCTAGCTAGTCCAACCAGAGTGAATGGTGGAATTTAAGCTGGAACACTCAAGAAGAGAGAGACTTTGTTTCCTGCTGCACTTGAACCTCGGTGGATAAGGTCAGGAGGGGCTGACAGCCATCTCGCCTCTGCAAGAGGCTGAGAACCAAGCTAAAATGGAGGAGAGAAGACAAAATGAAGACAGACTGAATCTTGAGGCTTGAGAACATCATCCAAGCAAGCACCAGCATTTAGCCAAGCCTGAACATACCTCTGGGTAATGTCCAATTACAGAAATCAGTATATTCCATTAAAGCAACCTGAGATGCATTTTCTATTGCTTGCAACCAAATGAGTTCTCATACCTGAAGTACTTACATCTATTTAGCACATAAACTGAGCCCCCACTGTATGCTACACACTGTGGAATTCAGTGGTAAGTCAGCCTGCAAAGTGCCATAAATCCTGCCTATGACAAAATAGTAAAAAAGGCTCCACAAAGAAGATGACTTTTAACTTGGGTTTTGAGGAATGAATAGGAGTTCACCAGGCAGAGAAGAAAAGTTGGAGGTTGGGGGCGTATTCTGGGCAGAGAGAACTGCTCGGGCAAAGGGTGAGAAGGAAGTGACTGAAAGGAGTGTTCAGAAAACGATTTGCGCTCAAGTATAGGCAGTATCTAGTGGAAAGTGGCTAGCAAAGAGATCTGTAAAAGACTGGACGCTGCTCTTTATTTTTATTTATTTATTTACTTATTTTTAGACAGAATTTCGCTCTTGTTGCCTAGGCTGGAGTGCAACGGCACAATCTCGGCTCACTGCAACCTCTGCCTCCCGGGTTCAAGCGATTCTCCTGCCTCAGCCTCCCAAGTAGCTGGGATTACAGGCATGCACCACCATGCCCGGCTAATTTTGTATTTTTAGTAGAGACGGGGTTTCACCATTTTGGTCAGGCTGGTCTCGAATTTATGACCTCAGGTGATCCGCCCACCTCGGCCTCCCAAAGTGCTGGGATTACAGGCGTGAACCACCACGTCCAGCCTGGATGCTTCTTAAAAGCAAGGATGAGATAGATCAGCCTGGAAGAGATCAGTTCATTGCCTCCCCAACAGTCGCTTCCCTCCATGTGGCATTGTTGTGTGAGTTAGCTGCCCAACCAGGGCTTCGCCTCCCTGCTCCTCTCAGATCCAGGCAGGGCTCTCTGATGAATTCTCACCAATGGGATGTGAGCAGAGGGGAAGTCTGTCACTTCCAGATCATGACTTTTAAGAAGTGGATGTGACCTTTCCATCCTTTCTTGCCTCATCTGACATTTACAGGAGGCAGAGCCACAAGACAGGTCCCCAGATCTACTTGTAGAAGAAGTCATCTGCCAACCATGAACATCCTCATTGGGCTGTTACACAAATGCGAAATTAACTTCTGTTGTGTTAAGCCAGTGAAATGTGGGGATGTATTTGTTATAGCAGCTAGCATGCCTCAGAGAATACCCTAACTTCTTTCTGCCTAACACAAATCTGATTTTGTACCCCTTCAATGTGCCCAGTCCCAGAGGATGACTCATGATTGTTTCCTGCTAATCATGGTAACCCCACTTCCCTTTGTCAATGATTGGTCTAATGATAGACATGTGACCCAGATATGGCCAATGAGACATAAGGAGAAGTATATTCCATTCCTTTGGGACAAAAAGTGAGAACTTGGGCCGGGCGCAGTGGCTCATGCCTGTAATCCCAGCACTTTGAGAGGCCAAGGCAGGCAGATCACTTGGGGTCAGGAGACTGAGACCAGCCTGGCCAACATTGTGAAACCCCGTCTCTACTAAAAATACAAAAATTAGCTGGGCATGGTGGTGGGCACCTGTAATCCCAGCTACTCAAGAGGCTGAGGCAGGAGAATCACTCGAGCCTGGGAGATGGAGGTTGCAGTGAGCTGAGATCGCACCACTGCACTCTAGCCTGGGCAACAGAGTAAGACTCCATCTCAAAAAAAAAAAAAAAAAAGGAAATAAGAGCTTGTTCGTGTTCCTCTCTCCTTCTGCTTTTAGAAATTATTGTGAAGGCATGCATGATGGTTCAGTGGCAACCCTCCCATGACCATGAAGAGAAATATCACCGTCACACCTAAAGACAGCAAAGAGGAAAGACAGGAAAAAATTTAGGTTCTAACTGACACTGTTGGCTACTGCCCCATCCCTGGAACTGCCTACCTCTAGACATCATGTTAGGTGAAATAGCAAGAGTCACTGTTGTTTAAGGCAGTCACCAAATATTTTGTTCATTGAAGCCTAAAGCATTCCTAACTGACATGGTCCATACCTTGAAAATGGTTCTCAGGTTAATGGGTGATAGGAAAATAGTGGCTGGTAATGTAGGAACCTCTGGATTTTCCCTGATGTTTTTGAGGGTTTGGGGGCCAACTGAATTGTCTGATGTTGGGAAATTCCCACAGGCAGGGAAGTGGTATAAGACAATGGTTCTGTATCTTGATCATTTCTGGAAGGGTCCTCCAGGTAGGAGTAGAAGCTGTAGGAGGATTTACCTGACTAACAAGGTTTGGGCACAGGATGCTCTCTCTGGGACCTCTTTCAGCCCTGGAATTTGGGGCAGCTCCAATTTCATATTGTCCAGGAGCTGTTCTATGTTCCAGGGCCCTTTGGGTCCTAAGTGGATTTGTAATGCACCATCTTAATAACATGAACTGGGTATATCTGACCTTCACTGACAGTGTGATTTGACCTCTCTGAGCTTCAGTTTCCTCATCTGTAGAATGGGGATACCCACACCCATATCTCAGCGCAAAATAATGTCTGTAAAGTGGTTAGCATAGTGCCTAGCTCATGACAGACGCTGGGCGAACGTAGCCTGTTTGTGAAGTGGGATTTTCAAGTACCAGTCTGTCTGGCCCATGAGATCATTGGCTGGGTTATGCACCATTCTCCAGGAACCAAAAGCTCCATCACCTCCTGCCTTTTTGCTGATCCATATGCGCATACATAGTCACTCTCCCCTAGGGTGCTGGCTTCTCTTCAGGTTCCAGATGTTAACCCAGGCCTTTCCCTTTCGATCAGTGCCCTCTGGGATGGGCTCCTACATTCCCTGGGGAACAGATCCACCCCCTCACCCCCATCCTCATAGCTTGGCCTGCAGAGCATCTCCTGGATGTCCTGACCCCTGGCTTACCACCCTCTCATTCAAGGGTCTGAAACTCATAGTCCATGGGGCCAATTCAACCTACCTCCAGTTCTGTTCCACAGTGTTTCAAAACATAAATGTGGGTCATGCACTCACTCTCCTGGCCACAGGCCCCACTCCTCCCTATTGGCTAAGCTCCCCTCCCCACAATTCTCACATTTTCTGTAACTGCCTAGAGCCAGTAGGAATTTGAATTTGCAGTTCCTGTTAGGAATCTAAAAGCTGCCCACTTCTGGGGAACAGCGTGTGCGAGGAAAAGTGCAGAGAAGCCCAGCAGCCCAGGTCAGGGGACGTCAGGCAAGGGCCTCCTGCCCCTTGGGCCTCAGTCTATTCACCACAGCATCCATAGTCCTGGGCGCATGGGCAGCTCTTGGCAAATACAGTTTGAATGAATGAAGTTTCCTCCAGGCAGAGATCATCTTCATTTATCTAATATCTAATTAGGCCTGCACCTCATCTGCTTCTGAATTTTAACAACCTGCCTTTAAAAGACAAGCCTGCCCCCGAAGGATTCCCTAGGGACCTTGGGACAGGCAGCTATGTGGATCATATTGAGCCAGGGCTGCACAACCTGGAATTAAACATGTGCTTAGGGCACTAGCCAAACAGGAGCACAGAAACACATACACAGTTTTTTGTTGTTGTTGTTGTTTTTCTTGTTTTTTGTTTGTTTGTTTTGTTTTTTGTTTTTTAAGGATTATTATGGGAGGAAAATAAAAATTTGTTGAACTTTTTTTTTTTCCTTTTTTGAGAGCGTCTCTCTCTCTCTCTGTCACCCAGGCTAGCGTGCAGTGGTTCAATCTCGGCTCACTGCAGCCTCAACCTTCCCGGGCTTAAGCGATCCTCCCCCTTCAGCCTCCCAAGAAGCTGGGACTACAGGTGGCACCACCACGCCCGGCTAAGTTTTTAAATATTTTGTAAAGACGAATTTGCCCGAGCTGGTCTCGAACCCCTGGGCTCAAGCGATCCTCTTGCCTCAGCCTCCCAAAGTGCTAGAATTACAGGCATGAGCCACCTCGCGCGGCTCTGGAGTTATTTTACACACTACAATTTATTTATGCATGATTGCGGGAGACCCTGATACTTTCAACGCTTAGGGCAGCGAGATATGAATGGACTGGGGACCGCGACCGCTCTTTCCTTTTCCCTGGCAGGGGGAGCTGTGGCGCAGCAGGCGCGGCCGGGCGGGCGGCGAAACTTACCAGTGGCGGGGCCCGGACTGCTTGTCCGTGGCTGCTCCGGCCGCTTGTCCGACGGCTGCTGCAACTGCGCTTCCGACGGTGCCGGGAGGACTGCTTGCTGCGCGGCCTCGCTGCGCCACACCCCCAGCCCCACGCCCGGGCGTTCTGGGACCCCTGGAACGGGCGCCTTTGTGACTCGCACAAACATGGACGTTCTCCCCTGCAAGTCCGCTGGGAGGGCACAGGGCCCTCGGGAGGAGAGGACAAGAGCAGCTGGTTGGAGGGAAGCTTTTGGTTGGGGGAGAGGGGCGACACACTCTCCAGCGACCCCTTACCAGACTACCCGGACCCTCATGACGCTAAGTGACTTCTTGAGTCAATCAACAGTCTTAGCCCCTCCCTCGGCCAACGCCATGCAATCGCTGGTCCACCTCGCCCCACTCACACCCCATTCACCGTCTTCTTAGCCTACACCTACACTCATGCTCACAGCAGCCCTGCTAGGTACAGACTTCACACGCAGCTAACTCAAAGGAGCCCAGTTTTTTCTACTCTGAAAAATAAAATAAAGTAAAAATAAATTAAAAAAAAATGTTGGGGCGGGGGGGGAAAGAGATATTTCATGAGAAAAATAACTTCATCAGTGCAGGAGAATTTTCTTCAGAACATCCACCTGACCCCCACCCACTGTGAGCATAACACGGGAACCCAAGTGTGATCCAGGCAAGTGAGCTTTTCACTGCCCTAACGGAGTTTAGTGGTTTAAAGATACACATTTTTCATACAATCGGCCCTGAAACACAAGTCAACTACTTTCTCTGGGGCTAAGCTCTAGAAACAATCACAGAATTAATGGAAAATTATTGGGGGTACCTGTTTTCTACAGTAATTTTGATTCCATGTGATTTCCACTTTAACTCCTAGCCCCCTGAGTGGATTGTAGTAGCTCAGCCCTGCTAAGGTCTCCACTTCATCCGTAAATTCTTGGGACAGGATGTGTGTTTTAGAACTTACCATATTTTGGAGGCCAGGTGCGCTGGCTCATGCCTATAATCCTAGCACTTTGGGAGGCTGAGGCAGGTAGATCATTTAAGGTCAGGAGCTCAAGACCAGCCTGGCCAACATGGTGAAACCCTGTGTATTTCTTTTTTTTTTTTTTTTTTTTTTGTATTTCTACTAAAAATATAACAAATTTAGCCCGGCATGGTGGCACACACCCGGTGGGTGCCTGTAGTCTCTGCTACTCGGGAGGCTAGGGCAGGAGAATTGCTTGAACCCAGGAGGCAAAGGTTGCCGTGAGCCAAGATCACACTCACTCCAGCCTGGGTGACAGAGTGAGACTCCGTTTCAAAAAAAAAAAAAAGAACTTACCATGTTTTTGGTTTCAGAAAGATAATATGGTACGCAAGGGAGTATGTTGCCCCTAATGTTGCTGGCAGCCACGTTGTAACCATGAGGGAAGTCAGTGGGACAGTATATTACATACAGGGTTCGGGCCACACAGTCCAGATCAAACGAATTACTGTTTCTGCAAGGAAACATCAATATTCATGTCAAGTAAGATAAGGATAGATTATGAACAGCTACATGTCAGGCCTTGCCTCCAAATGATTCATATGAAGTGTTTTGGATACACTTGACCATCCTCATTTTACAGATGGGGAAACAGACTTAGAGAAACCGAGTTTTGCAGTCAGTGGAGCAGCCAGGATTTGAACCCAAGGCTCCCTGTCTCTGGAGCCCCACGCTTTTCCACACCCTGACTGAAACCACAGCCCCAAATCTGAGCAGCCCTGCAAGCTGATATCTCCCATCTCTGATATTTAAAGGGCTGCTCCAGCACTCAGCTCCATGCAGAGCCCAATGACTCACACATTTCAAGTGTCAACGACTGAAAAATGATTAAGTTCAATTAGGTTCAGGACTTGTTAAAAATAGACCTTCCTCCGACGAATTTACTCTCTTTGTCTTTATGGGCGCAGCTCTCAGCAGCCGCCATGCAGAGACGTATCAGGCTTTTTTAATTAGAACATGTCAGAATCGATTCTGCTAAAGGGACCTTCTGCTTTATCAGCGGGACTTGGAGCAGGGTGAGATGCCAGCTTGCCAAAGCGATGAGCCAGCGGTGGGAAATGTTGGCGACAGCAGAGCCTCCAGAACACAGGAGGAAATTAGAGCCAAGCCGCAGAGGGACCAGGCAGAGGCATTTGGACGCAGACCAGAAAACTGACAGTCCAAGTGACTCTTTGGTTACAAAAATCAGAAACCCACTCGAACTATCTCAAAATGAATTTTTTTCTTTGGCCTCCTCATCTGTTTCCCTTTCCTTCTTCCCAGCCAATCCCAATTTGTTCAGGTAACAGTCCTTCCCCATTGAGCCTATGTAACCAGGAGCAGTTGAGTTTTACACACACCTCCAAGGTAGATCTCCATTAGTGTTAGCAAATCACAGCCATCCCATCACCTCCTTGCCAATGACTGGGAATCTAAGTTTAAGCCAATTAGTGCATAGCATTCTCCCAGAAACTTCTACTGGTCCAGGAATAGGCGTGCAACTGACAGTGGCCTATCAGACAGAAAGGAAGAACTTGGGGTAGAGGGAGATGCTTTTCTACCCTTATGGATGCAAACAAGAAAGCATGTTGCCCCTCATGTTGCTGACAGCCCTCTGGCAACTATGAGGGAAGCCAGTGTGAGATCAAGGCTAACACACGATGGAGGGAGGAGCCTAGGGAGAATTACAGAACAATGTGGCTGGCACCCTGATCATACCTTGCCTGAAACCCACATTATGAACAATAGGAACTCTGCATTTCCTATTATGTGAATGAATACGTTTCTTGTTTTTTAAGCCAGTGTGGATTGCAGTTTCTGTTTCTTTCATCTAAAGCATGCTGCATCGTATGAATGTTAGGGCTATCTCACAAAGGTTGGAGGCAGATCCCATGAGGAACAAGAACCCAGAACTAGTAAGCTGTCAGAAACCAAGGCAGCTCCTCCCTCTAGCCCTCTCTGGAACCACCTGGTCTCTCAACTTGGCCTCTTTTTTTAAGGACTATTTTCTCTGCTGTCCCCTCTTCCTCCCATCTTGCTTCTTATAAGTTCCCATTTTAGAACTCAGTTTAAAAAAAAAAAATCAATGTCCTCATCTCAACTTCCTCATCTCTTCCCAAGAGATGCTCCAATGTCCTCCTCTCTTCCCAAGAGAATACGATTGTCCTAGTCTAGATTTGATGTCCTGGCCCAATGATGTGGGTCCAGGGGGCCATGGTCAGGTGGTCCCCAACAGGGAATGTGAAAATAATTCTCGCCAGGCGCAGTGGCTCATGCCTGTAATCCCAGCATTTTGGGAGGTCAAGGTGGGTTGATTGCTTGAGCCCAGGAGTTCGAAACCAGCCTGGGCAACATGGCAAGACTCTGTCTCTGCAAAAAATACAAAAATTAGCTGGGAATGGTGGCATGCACCTGTAGTCCTAACTACTCAGGAGGCTGAGACAGGAGGAACACCTGAGCCTGGGAGTTCGAGGCTGCAATGAGCTATGATCATGCCGCTGCACTCCAACCTGGGTGACAGAGCAATACCCTGTCTCAGAAAAATAAAAAATAAAAAAAATTTTAGAAAAGGGGGCACAGGCAGGGAGGGCGCAGTAGTGTAATGGAGAGAACTGCTCTGCTTTGCACCCTGAGAAAAGCAAACAGACCTCTCTGAGCCTCAATTTCTTGTGACTGCCAGGACCAAATTGAGAACTTTAAAGTCTGCAAAGGTTGTGAAACATTTCACCCCACCTATGACATTCAATAAAAACAGTACTGATCCACAAGCTAAGTGTCAAGTAGTCTGGATTCCAACTTCTGCTGTCATGTGTATTGAATAACATAACAAATCATTTTGGGGAAAAAAAAGTATGGGTGCCTCAACTTCACTGGTGCCATTAGTCCCACTTCATTTGTTTTCTTGGTAACAAATAAACTGTTGTTGTTCCTCAGCGAAGGAGGCCACTCCAGCCCCTTCCATCTTCCCCTGCCCTGCTGAGTGGCCTAATCTCCACGCCTGTGGTATTTGAGGTCCCCCAATCCTCCTTCCTTCTGTGGCGGATTGGACAAGAAGAGAACACCTCACGCAAGTTAAACCAATCAGAGCTCCTTTCCCAGGAAGTGGAATCTGGACACAAAATTCCCTGGGAAACAAAGGACTGATGAATAGGTTCATGAGGTGTTGGGTGCTGGAGCCAACAGACTGTGTGAAGTCAGGCCAGGGTAGCCTTCTTTTGCCAAGTCTACATTGCCGTGGCCGCACAGGCAGACCGTGCACAAAGCCCTTCCTCAGGTTTTCCTTGCTAGCAAAGTCCTGATTTTTATTCTAGACTTGGGTGGAGGACCCTGGATCTCACAGGTCTCAAGATCTCATCGAGCCCACCTGAGATCTCAGGGTGGCCAGTGAGAGGGGAAGTCCGCTGGGAGAACTTGGGGCAGGTGCTGGCCGAATGCCTCCAGTCCTCAGAGTCCGTGGTGTAAGCTGAAGCGCATGGGCCCACAGGTGGAGGGAGGTGAGTTCTGTTCCCGCTGCAGAGCCACCAAGCCCACCAGATCATCTATGGACTGCCTAATGGCCTTCAATGCATTCCACGTCCACTTAAGCCAGCTGGAGAGGATTCTGTTGTTTGCAACCAAGAACTATCAGATACAGACTTCCCCTTCCAGAACCAGGTGCTTCAGGGGCTGCAGGTTACGGTGCAGACATGGCCAAGTCCAAGAACCACACTGCGGACAACCAGTCCCAAAAACAGCACAGAAATGGCCTCAAAAAATTCTGATCACAGGCCGGGTATGGTGACTCATACCTGTAATCCCAGCACTTTGGGAGGCCAAGGTGGAAAGATCACTAAAGGTCAGGACTTTGAGACCAGCCTGGCCAACATGGTGAGAGCCTGTCTCTACTAAAAATACAAAAAAATTAGCCGGGCATGATGGCATGCACCTGTAGTCCCAGCTACTCAGGAGGCTGAGGCAGGAGAATCGCTTGAACCTGGGTGGCAGAGGTTACAGTGAGCTGACATTGCACCATTGCACTCCAGCCTGAGTGACCGAGGGAGGCTCTGTCTCAAACAAACAAACAAAAAACAAATTCTGATCGCAAAGATATGAATCTCTTTAGGGGGTGGACCCTAAGTTCCTGAGGAACATGCGCTTTGCCAAGAAGCACAACAAAAAGAGCCTGAAGAAGATGCAGGCCAACAATGCCAAGGCCATGGGTGCACGTGCCGAGGCTATCAAGGCCCTGGCAAAGCCCGAGGAGGCTAAGCCCAAGATCCCAAAGGGCATCAGCCACAAGCTTGATCGACCTGCCTGCATCACCCACTCCAAGCTTGGGAAGCTCCATCAACCTGCCTGCATCACCCCACTGGAGTGCAGTGGTGAGATCTCAGCTCACTGCAACCTCTGCCTCCCAGGTTCAAGTGATTCTCCTGCCTTGTGCTGGCACTGCCAAGCGTCTCAGGCTCTGTCGGCCAAAGGCCAAGGCCAAGGATCAAACCAAGGCTTGGGGTCCAGCTTCACTTCCAGCTCAGGCCAGGATGGAAGGACTGGTGTAACCCCTGGGCTGTCAACCCCACGGGACTATTGTCCTCCTGTGCTCTTTGTACAAATAAACTGAGGCAGGAAAGAAAAAAGAACTATCAGATACAGAGACCGTGGCCATTGTTGACATCCAAAGTTTCCAATTCCTTCCTAGTGGGATCCAGAATTGCACCCCTCTTGGCCTCCCTTCCAATTGTCAGAGGCATTTGAATCAAAGCAACTCCATCTTGAGTAGGGGCTGGGTAAAATAAGGCTACGACCTACTGGGCTGCATTCCTAAACGGTTAAGGCATTCTAAGTCACAGGATGAGATAGGAGGACAGCACAAGATACAGATCATAAAGACCTTGCTGATAAAACAGTTTGCAGAAAAGCAGCTGGCTAAAATCCACCAAATACAAGATGGCGACGAGTGTTCTCTGGTCGTCCTCATTGCTGCTCTCCCACCAGCGTCATGACAGTTTATAAATGCCATGGCAATGTCAGGAAGTTACCCTATATGATCTAAAAAGGGGAGACATGAATAATCCACCCCTTGTTTAGCATATCATCAAGAAATAACCATAAAAATGGGCAATCAGCAGACCTCGGGACAGCTCTGTCTATGGAGTAGCCATTCTTTTATCCCTTTACTTTCTTAATAAACTTGCTGTCACTTTACTCTATGGACTCACTCTGAATTCATTCTTGCAGGAGATCCAAGAACCCTCTCTTGGGGTCTGGATCCGGATCCCTTTCCTGTAACACAGTGAGGCACAATGGCGCAGTGGACAGAATGCTGGAGTCCTGGATCTGCCACTGGTTTGCTGTGTGCCCCTAGAAAAGCAAATAGACTTCTCTGAGCCTTGATTTATTGAGACTGCCAGGACCAAATGGAGAACTTTAAAGTCTGCAAAGATTGTGAAATATTTTACCCCACCCATGGCATTCAAAATAAAAACAGGGCTGAGCACGGTGGCTCACACCTGTAATCCCAGCACTTTGGGAGTCTAAGGCAGGCAGATCACCTGAGGTCAGGAGTTCAAGACCAGCCTGGCCAACATGGTGAAACCCCATCTCTCCTAAAAATACAAATATGAGCTGGGTATGGTGGTGCGTGCCTGTAGTCCTAGCTTCTTGGGAGGCTGAGGCAGGAGAATCACTTGAACCCGGGCAGTGGAAGTTGCAGTGAGCTGAGATCATACCACTGCACTCCAGCCTAGGTAACAGAGAGAGATTCCATCTCAAAAAACAAACAAACAAAATAAGTAAAAACAGTACTAATCCATAAGATAAGTGCCACTCATTATCTCAGTGACAGACTTCTGACACAGGTGTAGATTCTTCAGAAAACATTTTGGCCTCACACAGCAAGAGTTATAAAAATGTTTATATTCTTCAACCCAGGAAACCTAAATGTGGAGATTCATCCTAAGAAAATAAGTCAAACTTGGGGATTTTTTTTTTTTTTGAGACAGAGTCTCCCTCTGTTGCTGAGGCTGGAGTGCAGTAGCACTATCTCGGCTCACTGCAACCTCCACCTCCCAGATTAAAGCGATTCTCCTGCCTCAGCCTCCCAAGTAGCTGGGACTACAGGTGTGCGCCACCACACCCAGATAATTTTTGCATTTTTTAATAGAGATGGGGTTTTGCTATGTTGGCTAGGCTGGTCTCGAACTTCTGACCTCACATGATCCACCTGCCTTGGCCTCCCAAACTCCTGGGAGTACAGGCATCAGCCACCATGCCCGGCCAAGTCAAAGATTTTTAAAATGCAAAGGCACTCTTGTGTTCTCCTCTCTCTGTGCCCTTTGATGGTATGGCAAGGCATTTAAAGATGTTTCTGACATTTTTTTAAATTCTAAGACGATGTTAACTATACGGTTATTGGCTAGAAATCCTGAGTTATCAACTGTACATATCCATAGTTTGTAAAAAAGAACAAAACAACCAAGACAAACTCTTGATGTTCCTCACTTGGCAATGAGGCCGTGGGGGAAGATGGCTTTCGGAGGAGTGGTAGCTCAGGGCGTGCACTGTGAGACAGGACCTGTTGACTCCGTGGTGAGCATCTATTTAGCTTCAGGTGGTCTTGTTTCTGTATAGAGTGACATAGCATTCTGCTGCCATTCTTAGCTGTGGACAAAGTGGGATCAGCTGGCATGAGAAGTGTTTGGGGGTTTTTTGGTTGTTTTTTGTTTTTTTGAGACAGAGTTTCGCTCTTGTTGCCCAGGCTGGAGTGCAATGGTGCGGTCTCAACTCACCCCAACCTCCGCCTCCCGGGTTCATGCGATTCTCCTACCTCAGCCTCTTGAGTAGCTGGGATTACAGGTGCCCACAACCACGCCTGGCTAATTTTTGTATTTTTAAGTAGAGACAGGGCTTCGCCATGTTGGCCAGGCCGGCCTCAAACTCCTGACCTCAGGTGATCCACCCGCCTCGGCCTCCTAAAAAAGTTCTGGGATTACAGGCGTGAGCCACCATGCCCAGCCTTTTTTTTTCTTTTCGAGAAAGGGTCTCCCTCTGTTACCTACACTGGAGTCCAGTGGTGCAGTCATAGCTTACTGCAGCCTTGACCTTCCAGCCTCAAGTGATCCTCCCACCTCAGCCTCCTGAGGAGCTGGAACTACACCACACCTGGCTTTTTTTTTTTTTTTTTTAACAGAGACAGGGTCTGTGTTGGCCAGGCTGGTCTTGAACCTCTGGCCTCAAATGATCCTCCCACCTCGGCCTCCCGAAGTGCTGGGATTATAGACATGAGCCACTGCACCTGGCCTAAATTTTGTTTTAAACAAACTACAGAACTCTTCCTTGTCAGCAAACAAAGAGCCACCCATCAGTGAAAGTTCAAGAATCAGGCCGGGCGCAGCGGCTCATGCCTATAATCCCAGCACTTTAGAAGGCTGAGGTAGGAAGATCACCTGAGGTCAGGAGTTCGAGACCAGCCTGGCCAACATGGCAAGCCCCATCTCTACTAAAAATACAAACAAAGGCTGGGCATGGTGGCTCACGCCTGTAATCCCAGCACTTTGGGAGGCCGAGGCAGGCGGATCACGAGATTGAGACCATCCTGGCTAACAAGGTGAAACCCCGCCTCTACTAAAAAAACAAAAAAAGCCAGGCTGAGGCAGGAGAATGGCGTGAACCCAGGAGGCAGAGTTTGCAGTGAGCCGAAATCCCACCACTGCACTCCAGCCTGGGCAACAGAGCTAGACTCCGTCTCAAAAAAAAAAAAAAAAAAATACAAAAAAAAATTAGCCGGGCGTTGTGGCAGGCACCTGTAATCCCAGCTACTCGGGAGGCTGGGGCAGGGGAATCACTAGAACCCAGGAGGGGGAGGTTGCAGTGAGCCAAGATCTTGCCACTGCACTCCAGCCTGGGCAACAAAGTGAGACTCCATGTCGAAAAAAAAGAAGAAGAAGAAGAAGAAGAATCTTCTTTATTTTGTATGTTTAGAATGCTGAGGTATTTTTCAAGTTACATTAACAGCATTGCACTTTTTAAAAAGAAAAAGAAAATAAGCCAAAGGCAAAAAAAATCCATATATACAAAGATGCCGATTGTAAAATCATCTCTACATAGGCAAGTGGAAATAAGTAAAAATCAACAAAATAAACACTTGGAATGAAAAAAGCCAAGCCCAGAAGAGCTCATACTGAAAAATGCCATTCATATAAAGCACAAAATTAGGGGAAGCTAACTTTGCCTTTAGAAGTCAGAATAGAGGTTATATGGTAGAGGGGGATAGAGAAGAAATAACTGGAAGGGAAATCAAGAGGCTTTCAGGGCTGCAGATATTCTGTTTCTTGATCTGGTTACATAATCAATTCATTTGTGAAAATTCATCCAGCCATACACTTCTGATATGGACCCCTTTATATGTGTGTATTGTACTCCGATACAAAAGTTTTCTAGACAGATGAACAAGAGGAGGATTTTTTTTTTTTTTCGAGATGGAGTCTTGCTCTGTCGCCCAGGCTGGAGTGCAGCGGCGCTATCTCTGTTCACTGCAACCTCCGCCTCCTGGGTTCATGACATTTTCCTGTCTCAGCCTCCCGAGTAGCTGGGACTACAGGTGCCCACCACCACGCCCAGCTAATTTTTTGTATTTTTAGTAGAGACAGGGTTTCACTGTGTTAGCCAGGATGGTCTCGATCTCCTGACCTTGTGATCTGCCCACCTCCGCCTCCCAAAGTGCTGGGATTACAAGTGTGAGCCACCACGCCATGGCCAAGAGGAGGATTTTTAAAGTAAATTATGGCTTATCTACTCATGGGACATTCTAGAGCATCGAAAAACGTAAAAATAACCACACCTGGCCTGGTGCAGTGGCTCGCACCTATAATCCTAGCACTTTGGGAGGTCAAGGTGGGAAGATCGCTTGAGTCCAGGAGTTAGAGACCAGCCTGGGCAACATAATGAGACCCCCATCTCTATTTAAAAATGTTTAATACAAAATAAAATAAAATACCCACATCTATTAAGCATATGCATGGTATGTACATATTGTTTTTCGTCGTCTAGTCCATCTTCTGTCCAATTCATTTGCCACTCTTCTCTTCCTGCTGTGTGTCTCAAGAAGTGGACAGTGTGATCCACATCACTCAAGGTCTCCCTTACCTTCTGTCTTCTGGTTGAATGTGGCCAATGACAGAGACCAGCAGGAGACCAGTCAGACAGGGTGAGAGAGATGTGAGACGTTTCTTTCAAAGTTCTTGCATACTTTGACATCCTGTCCCTGCTAGTCGCTACATCCCTATGTAGCTACAGCTTCTGTCTATATGGCCCCCCTCCCCAGCTCCAGCCCTCACTGGGCTTCCATCACATCAGTTCCTTCTCCTGCCTTGTCCTACCTTTAGTGTGGCAATGGCTTCCTTCTCTTGCTATTCTCTCAGTGCCTCAATCTCTCTTCTCTGTTCCCTTAACCCTGCCCACACTCTAAGAGAAGTCCTTCTTTAAAGTCTTTTGAACTGTCTGGGTTGGATTCAGTTTTCTTCGGAGCCCTGACCGTCACAGCCACTCCTCACCTTCCCATGTGACAAGTAAGTGACCTTCTTGGGTTCAATGCTGCAGAGACTGTGCCTTCAGCAGAGTGATGGGAACCAGCCCGGGAGTGAAGCCAGCATTAATTTCAATTTGGCACCAGGAGTTGTGCCAAATGCTTTCATCTTTTATTTTATTTCTATTTTTTTTTTATTTTTATTTTTTGAGACCAAGTCACTCTGTTGCCCAGGCTGAAGTGCAGTGGCACAATCTCGGCTCACTGCAACCTCCACCTCCCGGGTTCAAGCAATTCTCCTGCCTCGGCCTCCCTAGTCGCTGGGATTACAGGGTCATGCCACCACACCTGGCTAATGTTTGTATTTTTAGTAGAGTTGGGGTTCACCATGTTGGCCAGGCTGGTCTCGAACTCCTGACCTCAGGTGACCCACCCACCTCGGCCTCCCAAAGTGCTGGGATTACAGGCAGGAGCCACTGCACTTGGCCTCATCTTTTTCTTTTTCTTTTTTTTTTTTTTTCAAGAGAGGGTCTCAATCTGTCACCCAGGCTGGAGTGCAGTGGTGCAATCACGGCACAGCCTCAACCTCCTAGGCTCAAGTGATCCTCCTGCCTCAGCCTTGTTTCATCTTTTTGAAAAAGTAAAGAACTGAGCTCTCTCCCTCCCTCTATGTGCCACCTTCCTCTCCCTGTCATGGTCCCACTTTCCCCAGCTGAGGCTATGAACGGGTAGAGCTCACAGAGCTCGGGAGAGTGAGAGGAAAAGAGAAGATTGCAGGCCATGCTGTGACCCTGCAAGGCAGGGGAGAACAAATGGCTGCCCATCTGGAGGCAGCAGCAGAGACCTGGTGCCCCAAGCAGTATATGTACCCGTGTGCTGCCCAGCTGCTCCGAGCAAAGGTCATGTCTGTCTGGCCTCCTCCTCAAGGGAAAATGGAAGCTTCAGCATGACAGTTTGTCTCCTCAATATCTACTCTCTCCTTCCTCTCTTTTCTTACTTTTACTGGGAATGGCACATGCCCAGCTTTGAAAACCACATCTCAGTCAGGCATGGTGACTCATGCCTGTAAGCCCAGCACTTTGGCAGGCCAAGGTGGGTGGATCGCTTAAGGTCAGGAGTTCAAGACCAGCCTGGCCAACATGGTGAAACCCCATCTCTACTAAAAATACAAAAATTAGCCAGGCGTGGTGACAGGTGCCTGTAATCCCAACTACTTGGGAAGCTGAGGCAGGAGAATTGCTTGAACCTGGGAGGCAGAGGTTGCAGTGAGCCGAGATCGTGCCACTGCACTTCAGCCTGGGGGACAGAGCAAGACTCCATTTCAAAAAATAAAAAATAAACATAAATAAAAAATAAAAACTGCATCTCCCAGCCTCCTTTACAGAAATGGACAGCCATGTGACTAAGATCTGGACCAGCAGCTATGGCGGGTGGGGTAGAAGGAGCTCTGCTGATGCCCTGAGCAGATGCCTACCCTTTACTAACTCTGCAAACGTTCACCAGCATCTGCAGCTTTTCTATGCTTCTAACATAGATTTGGGCAATGGTGCCACCTCTGCTGTATGGAAAGCCAGAAGTTCCTGGAGATTTACTTCCTCCCAACCTCTTCTGGGCAGCCCATGGCTGGGTTGAAATGCAGGGGCCCAGTTCCTTTCCTTTGAGGCAGGACAAACTCTGAGATGTAATTTATACTCCCAAGCTCCCCAAGGATCCAGCTGAGGCTGCCCTGAAGTTGCACCCTTGCTTGGCGGGTTCCTTTTCCTCATTCTGCTTCTTTCACTCCCTGACCAGTTTCCCCTGACAGCATTTCCCGAATTAATCATTTGCATCTGGATCTTTGGTTCAGGGTCTTCTGGGAGAATGGGACCTAAGAATGACACTTCCAAGAAATCTCCTAAAAACAGGCTGACTGAGCTGGCATGCTCTCTCTTTCCTTCTTTCACCATTATCTCCCTTCCTGCCTAAAAAGTAGATATAATGGCTGGAGCTCCAGCAGTCATCTTGTAACCATAATAAGCATAGGGATAGAAGGATTGTGGCTTCCTGATAACTTTGGGTAGCCAACAGTCCTAGACTCCTACCTCTTCCAGACTTCTTTTATCTGAGAGAAATAAAGTGTTAATTTTTTTTTTTTTTTTTTTGAGATGGAGTCTCACTCTTTTGCCCAGGCTGGAGTGCAGTGGCACGATCTTGGCTCATTGCAACCTCCACCTCCTGGGTTCAAGGAATTCTCCTGTCTCAGCCTCCGGGTACCTGGGATTACAGGCTACAGGCGTGTGCCACCACGCCTGGCTAATTTTTGTATTTTTAGTAGAGACAGGGTTGCACCATGTTGGCCAGGTTGGTCTCAAACTCCTGACCTCAGGTGATCCACCCACCTCAGCCTCCCAAAGTGCTGGGATTACAGGCATGAGCCACCGCACCCGGCCGACTCTTTTTCAGGTTTTAGATTTAGCAACCTACATAACTGCTAATATAGTCGACTAATAAAGTTCTACAATCTTCCTCCACGGCAGTGAATTTCTCCCTTGAATATCTTTCTCTTTAGGCCCTGATCACCACTCACCCCCTATAGCTTCCTGTCCCCTCCATAGAAAATCAAAATCTCTCTCTTCCATGATAATAGCAATGGCAATAATAATAGTAGCAGTAGTAGTAACAGTGGTTGAACACTTACTATGTGCCAGGCATTGTTCTAAGCACCTTTCATACAATAACTTACTTAAACATTCTTTTGTTTTTTTTTCTTGAGATGGAATCTCACTCTGTCACCCAGGCTGGAGTGCAATGGTGCACTCGGCTCACTGCAACCTCCACCTCCCAGGCTCAAGCAATTCTTCTGCCTCAGCCTCCCAAGTAGCTGGGATTACAGGCACCCACTACCATGCCCGGCTAATTTTTGTACTTTTATTAGAAACAGGGTTTCACCATGTTGGCCAGGGTGGTTTTGATCTCCTGACCTCAAATGATCCACCCATCTCAGCCTCCCAAAGTGCTGGGATTACAGGTGTGAGCTACCGCGCCTGGCCAACATTCTTGTAACAACCCCACAGGGTAGATACCCACATTATCCCCATTTTACAGATGAGGCAACTGAGAATAACTCAGGCTAACTCTACACTGCCCACTCTTCTGGACCATCCAAAAATCGGAATCCTGGTTAGCACAATATGCTGATACATTTAACCCCTTTTTGGCTGGATGCGGTGGTTCACGCCTGTAATCCCAGCACTCTGGGAGGCCAAGGCGGGTGGATCACCTGAGGTCAGGAATTCGAGACTAGCCTGGCCAACATGGTGAAACCCCATCTCTACTAAAAAAAATACAAAAAAAATTAGCCGGGTGTGGTGGCAGGCACCTATAATCCCAGCTACTTGGGAGGCTGAGGCAGTAGAATTGCTTCAACCCGGGAGGTGGAGGTTGCAGTGAGCCGAGATTAAGCTACTGCACTCCAGCCTGGGCAAAAGAGTGAGACTCCATCTCAAAAAAAAAAAAAAAAAGAAAAAGAAAAAAAGAAACCCTTTTCATCTCCTGATTCTGCTAGATTGGCTCGGGGAAAATGGAAGGAGCTAGGAAGGATCACCTCCGAAACTAAAATGTCTCATCCAGATGGTTTCCTAAATAAGAGAGCAATTTTCACCCTAAGAGAGCTTCTCCCACACTTCTTGGGCAACCAGCTCAAATCACAGACAACATTAAAAACAATCATTTTTCCTCATTTTGTTTTTTTAAAAATGAGACATCAAGCTGTTTCTCTTGATAAATAAAAAGAGATGTTTCCATGCCCTGCCAGCATAGCTAGGAGGAAACAGGTGCCGCTTTCCTCTTCTTGGGCCCTCTGCCGTGCATCTTTGTTTCCCTAACTCATTTCCATAGAGTCTGCTGTTTGTAGGGCACCAAGCTGGGTGCAGTGGTACATCACAGCATCCGGACATAGGCTCTGGAGTCAGGAAGACCTGGGCTGCCACTAGCTAGCAATGAGATCTTGGGCAAGACACTTTACCTCTCTGGGCCTCATTTCCTCATCTGCAAGGTGAAGGTAATGACTGCACCCACCCCATCAGCACAGAAGTCACTTTTAGTTGCCTGCCCACTTGCCATTACACTTCTTCCTTAGTCCTGGGGATGGATTAATTTGAGCTAAACCATACCCAACATATTAGTCAAGGGATGGGCATATCCTTTCAGGCAAATGAGGCATACGGAGATCTCTGCAGGGAGTCTCTTCCCAAAAAGGAGAAGACCATGAGAGGCAAATCTCCCACTTTCCCAACTTTTATAATAGATATGCTCCAAGATGGCTGCCCAAGACCAACCCCAGGTTCAATGATTCCATAGAAGGACCCCCAGAACTTAGAAAAGCTGTCATATTCATGGTTATAGTTTACTACAGTGAGAGGGTACAGATCAAAATCAGTAAAGACTAAAGGCACAGAGAGCAGATATGAGCCTCCAGTTGTCCTTTCCCTGTGGACTCTTACAAACATCACTTAATTATAAGTGACAAATAACAAAAACAACAAATAGCAATGATGTACACCAACACGTCAGAGGCATTGCCAACCAGGAAGACTCACCCATGCCTTGGTGTCCAGGGTTTTTACTGGGGGCCAGTCACAGAGACATGGCTGGAGATTTTGATTCAGAAAGTCTGAGAGAATCTTGAGAATGTATTTATCAACAATCATAGGCCAGGCACAGTGGCTCATGCCTGTAATCTCAGCACTTTGGGAGGCTGAGGCAGATCACTTGAGGTCAGGAGTTCAAAACTAGCCTGGCCAACATGGCAAAACTCCATTGCTACTAAAAATACAAAAATTAGCTGGGCTTGGTGGCGTGCACCTGTAGTCCCAGCTACTCAGGAAGCTGAGGCAGGAGAATTGCTTGAACTTGGGAGGTGGAGGTCGCAATGAGCCAAGATCATGCCACTGCACTCCAGCCTAGGAAACAGAATGAGACTCTGTCTCAAAAAAAAAAAAAGAAAGAAAGAAAGAAAAGAAACAAACAACAACAACAACAACAACAACAACAACCACAAATCATGAGCACAAACTTTTATAAAGCACTTTCTTTGTTCCAGGCATGGCTTTAAGCGCTCCGCATCTATGAACTCATTTAATGCTCACAAGAACCCTATGAGGTCTAGATTATGATTTTCCCCCTTTACAGGTGAGGAAACTGAGGCCCACCTGTATAACAAGTGGGAAATCTAATGTCACGAAGCATCAGTCTTTCAAGAATTGCAACTTGTTCGTTTGGCTCACAGGGACCAACATTTAAAAATCCAGAGCATTCACACAAGAGAAAATGGAGCGCAGTAGTGAAGGGCAGGATGCTGGGGCCGCACTGACCAGGTTTCAACCTAGGCTGATGAACAGTCTTGATTTTCCTGGACTGAAGGGTTTCCTGGGACGTGGATCTGACAGTGCAAAAACTAGGGACAGTCCCAGGAAAATCAGAACAGTTGGTCACCCTATATCCCAGTTACCAATAACTAGTATAATTTTAACACGTTTGTTTGTTTGTTCACTCTTGTTACCCAGGCTGGAGTGCAGTGGTGTGATCTCAGCTCAATACAACCTCCACCTCCCAAATTCAAGTGATTCTCCTACCTCAGCCTCCTGAGGAGCTGGGATTACAGGTGCGCACCACCACACCCGGCTAATTTTGTATTTTTAGTAGAGACGGGGTTTCACCATGTTGGCCAGGCTGGTCTTGAACTCTGACCTCAAGTGATCCGCCTGCCTCTGCCTCCCAAAGTGCTGGGATTACAGACATGAGCCACCACGCCCAGCCCAGCACTCATTATGTGACATCTTTGTACCTCAGTTTCCCCATCTGTAGAATGGGAGTAATAACCATATCTACGTCATAACGTTTTGTTAATATTTAACATATTAAGGTGTTTTGGAACTGCCTGAGTGTTTGGCATTAATAGGATTATGAAAATTTGGATTTCCAGATTCACTTTCCTCGAAAGATTAGAAGATCTGGCAACAAAAAGGGTTACATTCTTATTTACCTAATTTATTTAGCAAATGTTATAAATAATGCCTTTTTTCTTTGAAACAGGGTCTCACTCTGTCACCAGGCTGGCATGTGGTGGCGTGATCACAGCTCACTGTAGCCTTGAACTTCCAGGCTCAGGTTATCTTCCCTCCTCAGCTTCCTGAGTACCTTGGACCACAGGCATGCGCCACCATGCCCGGCTAATTTTTTTTTTTTTTTTTTTTAAGTAGAGACAGTGTCTCCCTAGGTTACCAGGCTGGTCCCGAACTCCTGAGCTCAAGTGATCCTCCCACCTCGGCCTCCCAAAGTGCTGGATTATGGGTGCGAGCCACCCCGCCTGGCATATAATACTTTTTACTATGCACCACACACTGTTCTAAGCACTTGCAGAACTTTCACCCACTCAGCCCTCAGAACAACTCTGTGAGATGGGTTCTGTTTTTTTTGTTTGTTTTTGAGTGGGTGTCACTCTGTCACCCAGGCTAGAGTGCAATGGCATGATCTCGGCTCACTGCAACCTCCGCCTCCCGGGTTCAAACGATTTTGCTGCCTCAGCCACCCAAGTAGCTGGGATTACAGATGTATACCACCACGCCTGGCTAATTTTTTTTTTTTTTTTTTTTTTTTTGTATTTTAAGTAGAGACAGGGTTTCACCATGTTGGCCAGGCCAGTCTTGAACTTCTGACCTCAGGTGATCCACCCATCTCAGCCTCCTAAAGAGCTGGGATTACAGGTGTGAGCCACTGCACCCGGCCAAGATGGGTTCTGCTATTGTTCAGTTTTACAGATGAGAAAACTGAGGCACAAGGAGGTGAAGTGACTTGTCCAGTGTCACACGACGAGTAAAGGGCAGAACCAGGATCTGAACCCCAAATGTCTGACTCTAGGCATGACGGTCAGCTAGCACTGGGTCTTAATTAACCCCTCGAGGAGGGCATGGACTCCCCACTTCGCCCCAGCTCCCGCCCCAATTTCCTATTTCCATTCCTCCCAGGCCCCTTTGAGCTCTGTGTTTTCTTCCCTCACATACTGGGTGCTCAAGCACAATGACAGCCTTGCCAAAAGATACCCAGGGAACACGCTTCAGGTCACGCTGGCCCCGGAGCTGGGAATTTAGCCTGAGGTCTAAATCCAACTTTCATTTTCTGAGTCCCACGCTTTCTCAAAAAGCCATCCTCTCCTCAGACAGAATTAGATTAATCTCCTTATCCAATAGCTCAGGATCAGGCGGACAGTCGGGTCACCTGCTTCAGCCCGGCCAGACCTGATTACCCTCTGTGACCCCAAAATTCACTCATGCGCACCTGCCCCTGACACGTTTGCTGATTAATAACGGCAGGGAGTTTGGGGATGGTGCGTTTTTCACCTTCTGGGAGCATCAGTGGCTTGAACACAAAGGCCACCTGAGGAAGAGCTGTAGTTAAACACCCATGGCCTCAGCCCTTGGCCCCCTCCCCCCAGCCACCCACCCTGCCCAGAATCTGTGCCCTTTTAAACTTCCACCAAATTCCATACAATTTAATGTCCCAGAAAATAAAAGCTGATCAAATCAATAGTCATCAAACTAAAAAAACTTGAGAGCTGCCAGCATGTTCTGAAATTATTCTGTTTGGGCTGGGCGTGGTGGCTCATGCCCGTAATCCCAGCACTTTGAAAGGCCAAGGTGGGTGGATCACTTGCGGTCAGGATTTCGAGACCAGCCTGGCCAACATAATGAAACCCCATCTCTACTAAAAATACAAAAATTGGCCAGGCACGGTGGCTCACACCTTAATCCCAGCACTTTGGGAGGCCGAGGCAGGTGGATCGCTTGAGGTCAGAAGTTTGAGACCAGCCTGGCCAACATGGTGAAATCCCATCTCTAATAAAAATACAACAATTAGCCAGGCATGGTGGTGCGTGCCTGTAATCCCAGCTACTTGGGAGGCTGAGGCAGGAGAATTGCTTGAACCTGGGAGGCGGAGGTTGCAGTGAGCAGAGACCGTGCCACTGCACTTCAGCCTGGGCAACAGAGTGAGACTCCATCTCAAAAAACAAAACAAAACAAAACACAAAAATTAGCCAGGCATGGTGGGCACCTGTAGTCCCAGCTACTCGGAAGGCTGAGACAGGAGAATCACTTGAACCCGGGAGGCGGAGGTTGCAGTTAGCCAAGATCATGCCATTGCACTCCAGCCTGGGCGACAGAACAAGACTCCGTCTCAAAAAAAGAAAGAAAGAAAGAGAGAGAGAGAGAAAGAAAGAAAAAAAAGAAAGAAAGAAAGAGAAAGAAAGAAAGAAAGAAAGAAAGAAAGAAAGAAAGAAAAGAAAAGAAAAGAAAAGAAAAGAAAAGAAAAGAAAAAAGAAAAGAAAAGAAAAGAAAAGAAAAGAAAAAAGGAAAAGGAAAAGGAAAGAAAAGAAAAGAAAAGAAAAATTATCCTGTTCAGGGCTGTGTAAGGACCCGCTGTTGTCTTTTTCCGCCTTCTTGTAAGAGCACATCAATTTCCCTCTGGAGGGTCATTCCATCTCCCGGCGCTCAGTCCATGAGGTTGTGGAGGCTGCCCCGCGCTGTCAGATGCAGGTAGCTATTCCTCTATTGAGAGCTCCTATCAGGGAGCCCCTCTCTCACAGCTTCTGATCTCAGACTCCAGAACAGTCTTTCCCCTGCACTTGCCAGTCCCAGGCACTTCGCCATCCCTGCTGGCTCTCCCCATCCTGCCCACACACTCGCTTGTCACTCCCATGTGACTGTCTCCAGGGGACCCTAACTGATACATCTGGAGACCCAGCAGTCCTTTTGGGAGCTGAGCACGCCTCCCACCACTCCCTACATTGTTTGCCCGGCTCCCTTTACTTCTTTGCCTCTGGGCCAAGGCCTCCTGGGCTTTTCCCTTTTATTGAAAATGCCCTGGGGGCCAGCGTGGTGGTTCACACCTGTAATCCCAACACTTTGGGAGGCTGAGGTGGGTGGATCACTTGAGGTCAGGAGTTCGAGACCAGCCTGGCCAACATGGTGAAACCCCGTCTCTACTAAAAATACAAAAATTAGCTGGGCATGGTGGCATGCACCTGTAGTCCCAGCTACTCTGAAGGCTGAGGCAGGAGAATCGCTTGAACCAGAGAGGTGGAGGTTGCAGTGAGCTGAGATCCTGCTAACTGCACTCTAGCCTGGGCGACAGAATGAGACTTCGTCTTAAAAAAAATTATTTTTAATTTAAAAAGTTTAAAAAAGAAAGAAAGAAAGAAAATGCTCCGGGGAGGGCTGTCACCTCTCTCTCTTAGGATTTCCCCTCTCACACTTAACTTCAAGTGGGGGCAATCTCCCAGCAAGCCTCCTCCTCACTGTTCTGATTTTTACGCTCAGCCCTCCCTGCCCGAGTGGCCACCACACTCAAGGGAGTGTCCTAGAGATTTTTGCAGGCGTGAGCTCATTTGTTGCACACTCTTGTGGGAAGAGCCACGTGAGGAGGTTACACAGCTGAAGCGGTCTCCCGACATTCAAGCAGTCACGGATGCTGAACTGTTGCAGATGTGGTAAATTGGTAGTAGGCAGGAGGGCATGCTGGTTATAGGCTTGGGCGGTGGAGGCAGACAGACCTGATCTCAAATCCCACCTCTGCGATGTGACTCGGGCAAGTGGTTTAACCTCTCCCGGCCTCTGTTTCATGATCCAGTCTGCCATGTTGCACAATTCCAGGAAACGCCATTCATGTTGGTGCACCAGGGGGCGCCACTTACACAGACAATACAGTGAACGCCATCCCCAGGGTCCTGTAAGGCGGTGGTGCTGACAACACTGCCTCCCTCAGTCAGGGCTCCACATGTCAAGAGTAGGCACTCAGCAATCATCCCAATAGCCTTCTCCTCATTTTACAAAAGAGGAAACTGAGGTTCAGAGAGGTCACATGATATGCCCCAGGTCACAGGTCAAATAAATGACTGAGCCAGAATTTGAATACAAAATTTCTTTCACGCTGGGCAAGGATGGCTTATGCCTGTAATCCCAGCACTTTGGGATGTCGAGGTGGGAGGATTGCTTGAGCCCAGGAGTTCAAGACCAGCCTGGGAAACATAGTGAGACCCCATCTCTACAAAAAATTTTAAAAATTAGCTGGGTGTGGTGGCACACACCTGTGGTCCCAGCTATTCAGGAGGCTGAGGTGGGAGAATCACTTGAGCCCAGGAAATTGAGGCTGCAGTGAACCATGATCACTGACACTGCACTCCAGCTTGGGTGACAGAGTAAGACCCTGTCTCTAAAGACAAAAAAACAGGCCGGGTGTGGTGGCTCATGCCTGTAATCCCAGCATTTTGGGAGGCCAAGGCAGGCAGATCACTTGAGGTCAGGTGTTCAAGACCAGCCTGGCCAACATGGTAAAACCCTGTCTCTGCTAAAAATACAAAAATTAGCCCAGCATAGTGGCACATGCCTGTAATCCCAGCTACTCGGGAGGCTGAGACAGGAGAATTGCTTGGACCTGGGGCGTGGAGGCTGCAGTGAGCTGATATCACACCACTGCACTCCAGCCTGGGTGACAGAGTGAGACTCTGTCTTAAAAAAAAAAAAAAAAGAAAGAAAAGAAAAGAAAAAGAAACAAACAAAAAATCAAAAATTTTATTTAATCCAGGGCCTGTGCACTCTCTAGCCTGCTGTTCTATCTCCAGAGATCTTCAGTTTGGGTGGATGCAACACCACACACATCTTCACAGCCACAGTCCATCCCTTCCCTCTCAGAGCACCTCTGCCATCACCAAAGAGTTTTCCTTGAACTGTAAGTTGTTGTCTCTCCCTCCCTCTTTTCCCTCTGGTATTTCCAATTCCAGGCATGGCAAATATTTAGTTCCCCATGGCTGATCCCACGGCAGACATTACTAAACAGTCCCGGCACTCTTTCCACTTAGATCCAGGATGCAACCCACCAGGCAGCCATTACTAAGTGATCCAGGTTATCTGTCAAGACAAACCACGAGTTCTATTAGAATCTTCATCAGCTCTTCCCACTCGCTGCCCCAAATAGTAATAGGTGTTCATACATTAAGGAAATGTTTGTGAATGGACACATTGGGCTTTCCTTCTTACTAGCTCTGTGACTTTGGCCAAGTCCCCTCATCTTTCTGATGTCAAACAGAAATGGAAGTTTAGAAAAATGAAGGGACTTGCCTAAGGTCACAACTAGCAAGAGAGGGAACAAAATTATGTCCAACAGAGACAAGAAGGGCTGTTGAAGGTGTGGGTCTATGTAGAATTCTTAGCATACTGCCTGGCACATGGCACATACTCAACATCACCAGGCTTCTTTTGTATAAAACAGGATTGGTTCCGTGCTCTGACCCCAGCCTTTCATAAAACTGTTCTCTGGGGCTCTCTGGCCAGAATCTTTCCTTGGTATGACAACGTAGAAGGCCCCAGAAAGCCCATTGGCTCAGAGATTTGAGAGAATGCACTCTGGAATACTGGCACGGAGTAGCCGAGTACTTTCTAGAACTCTGGGCTGGATTCAGGAGCTATGAGATCAGATTTTCGAGATCCTGGCTTTCCCAGTTGAGAAGCAGAAGTTGCAAAGACCATCCCAAAGGCCCCTCTCACATTCAAACCTGGCTCCCTCCTGGCTCCCTCCCTGCTTTGCAGTGGCCCAAAGCAAGCTGGTGGGCACGTTCTATTATTAAAAGTTTCCCCAAGCTGTTGTATAACCCTGGTTGCCACACAGCAGGAGGGAAGGCAGGGACCCAGGAGGCTGGGCTCCCAGCTCTGAAAAAGATGACAACTTCCCTCCAAACCTGGCTGGCTACAGGCATGACCACTTGATGGGCTACCGCACCTAGTTCCCTTCCCTTCCTTCATTTCCCTCACTTCTTTCCTTCCTTCCTTCTTTCCTTCCTTTCTTCCTTCCTTCCCTCCTTCCTTCCTTCCTTCCTTCCCTCCCTCCCTTCCATCCTTCTTTCCTTTCTTCCTTCCTTCCATTCCCTCCCTCCGTCCCTCCCTCCCTCCTTCCCTTCCTTCCTTCCTTCCCTCTTCCTCTGTTTCTTCCTTCCCTCCTTCCTCCCTTTCTTCCTTCCCTCCCTTTCTTCCTTCCTTTCTTCCCTCCCTCCCTTCCGTCCTTCCTTCTTTCCTTTCTTCCCTCCCTCCCTTCCTTCTTTCCTCCCTCCCTCCTTCCTTCCTTTCTTCCTTCCTTCCCTCCTTCCTTCCTTCCCTCCCTCCTTCCTTCCTTCCCTCCCTCCTTCCCTACCTCCTTCCTCTCTTTCTTCCTTCCTTCCTTTCTTACTTTCATTCAGGGACTACTGATTGAAAACATGGGCCCTGGAGCCATGAGCTCAGGTCTAGCACCAGCCAGGCATAGTGGCTCATGCCTGTAATCCTAGCACTTTGGGAGACCACAGCAGGTGACCACCTGAGGTCAGGAGTTTGAGACCAACCTGGCCAACATGGTGAAACCCCGTCTCTACTAAAAATACAAAAATTAGTTGGGTGTGGTGGCAGATGCCTGTAGTCCCAGCTACTCGGGAGGCTAAGGCAAAAGAATCGCTTGAACCTGGGAGGCAGAGGTTGCAGTGAGCCAACTCTCTGTGCCTCAGTTTCCTCATCTGTAAAATATGAATAAGAATAGTTATTCATTCTCTGTCTAACAAAAAAAAATAGTCTGACCTTATAGAATTGTTGAGAAGATTTAATAACTTACTGCACAGGTAGCACTTCGAACAGCACCTGGTGCTTCACAAGTGCTGTGTAAGTGTTTGTTATTATTGTTAAACGGTGTTGAAGGAGCAGCTATGGTGGGTGCTGTGAACAAACCTGTGAGCAAGTCCCAGATGGCCTCACAGTCCCTGGCCTCACAGAACCCACAGCCTAAGAGGGCAGACCAGCATTAAATAATTACACAATTAAGTGATTAGTTATTGTTGGCCTAACCACTGTGAAAGGCCATGAGTGTATCTGAAAGGGAGACCGGATCTATTCTTGCCAAAGGGCAGGGGAGTCAGGGAATGTTTCCAAGGAGGAGAGAGAGTTTGCAACTGTGTCTTTATTGGCTTGTCCATTCATTTATCATTCATTGTCTGCCTCTGGCACCAGTGTGTAAGCTCCAAGAGGTCTGGGATCGTGTATATTTTATTTACTAATGTTTACCTGGCATTGGGAGGCACCATAACTATGTGAGGTTTTTTGGTTTTTGTTTTCTGAGACAGAGTCTTGCTCTGTCACCCAGGCTGGAGTGCAGTGGCGAGAACTCGGCTCACTGCAACTTCTGTCTCACGGGTTCAAGTGATTCTTGCACCTCAGCCACCCAAGTAGCTGGGATTACAGACACGTGCCACCACACCTGGCTAATTTTCATATTTTTAGTAGAGATGGGGTTTCACCATGTTGGCCAGGCTAGTCTTGAACTCCTGACCTCAGGTGATCCACCCACCTCGGCCATCGAAAGTGCTAAGATTACAGACCTGAGCCACAATGGCCGGCCAATAACTATGTTTGGATCAATGGATGAATGAATGAAAGGATGTTGCATTGGAGACCAGGATGAGTCAGTGCAAACCACGTGACTAGAGGGATGAAAGAGCACCCTGAGCAGACGAACCAGCAAGTGCAAAGGCCCCGTAGCTGGAAGGAGGTCTGAGTGTTTCCAGAAATGAAGCAAGGACATGATGTCTGGAGCTGGCAAAGGAGAGCCACAGAGAGAGTAGAACAGACCACACAGGACCTTGGAGACACATGGTGAAGTCTCTCCACCAGGTGCCCAGTCAGAGCTGCAATGTGAGGTGATCCAGGGTGTTAGAGAAGCTGGGGTTCAGGTCCCAGGTGCTCCACTTTCTGGCTACAGGCAAGTCAATTAACCCGTATAAGCCCTGGCTTCCTTCTTTGCAAAGGGGATGCTAATAGTAACCTATAGCAAGGGGCTCAGGGAGGATGATGGAATTAAGGCACGTTAGCGCAGTACCTGGCATAGTGCAGGTGGTGCTCACGAAAGGTAGCTGTGGTTATAATAACAATATCACTATGATCAACCCAGGCCTCATGGTTCTCCTTTTCTGTCCTCTAAAGCTCAATCACCCCCTTAAGGAGGGCTCTCCCTGTCCAGTCCAGCCCAGGGACAAAGCTGTTTCCAGTCCTCCCAACTCAGAACAGGCCCCAGGTTCCCAAGGCCCTCCTGGGGCTGTTCTCCTTGAAGTTCCCGCAGCCAAGACTATAAGATGGTTCCCTCTGCTCAGGGCAGAATCTGCATCTACATTGCTAAGCAACCAACCCCCATCCAGATGCCAGCTGCACCCCAGCCCAGGGATGACATCAGCACTCTGAGAAGGGTCTCCTGGGGGCATTTCCAGGACTCAAGCTGCAACCAGGGCTGTAACAGGAGAGAGCAGAGGCAAGGTGACCCCCCTGCCACCAGCTGGTCCACAGCCCTCAGTGAGAGTCAGGGCGCAGCATAGAAAGCCACAGGGTCCAAACATGTTCAGACCCCAGCTGTGCAGCTTTGGTCAAGTCGCCAAACCTCTCTGAGCCTCAGCTACTCATCTCCACAATGAGCTGGCCAGACCTAACTGCAGATTCATCGTGAGGATGATACAGAATGCTATACATGAAAATGCCCAGCACAAGGTAGGTGCCCAAACAACCTTGAAATATGAATGCATCTCCAGGGGTGAGTCCACCAGTCTTGTCACCCATCAGTGGTGACAAAGATAAAACTCCTTAGCCTGCCTAACCTGTCCCCTCACTTGATCCCCCAAGTTTCTTCTCTCAAATTAATACCTCCTAGTTCTGGGCTTCTCAACCTCAGCACTATTTTTTTTTAACAGCTTTATTGGCATATAATTCCCATACATTGCAATTCACCCATTTAGAGTACACACTTCTGGCCAGGCGTGGTGGCTCATGCTTGTAATCCCAGCACTTTGGGAGGCCAAGGAGGGCGGATCGCTTGAGCCCAGGAGTTCGAGACCAGACTGGCCAACATGGTGAAACCCAGTCTCTACTAAATATACAAAAATTAGCCGGGCTTGGTGGCACACACCTGTAATCCCAGCTACTCGGGAGGCTGAAGCAGGAGAATCACTTGAGCCCAGGAGGTGGAGGGCCAAGATTGCGCCACTGCACTCCAGCCTGGCAGCAGAGCAAACTCTGTCTCAAAAAAACAAAAACAAAAAAAACAGACTCCTTACTCAAAAGTGAATTGATATCTGAGACCATGTGAGATAACGCCTTGGACAAGGGTTTTCTGAATCCTACAGGGTTATACAATATACCCCTACAATTGCAGATAGGTTAGTTAAGAGTCACACAGATGTAGATTCAAGTCCCAATTCTGTCACCATGTTTGGTATTGAGGTTTGACTCAATAAATAAAAATGTAAAGCTTTGAGAAGAAAGAAGAGGCTGGGCACAGTGGCCCACGCCTGTAATCCTAGCACATTGGGAGGCCAAGGCAGGAGGATCCCTTGAGTCCAGGAGTTCAAGACCAGCCTGGGCAACACAGTGAGAACTCATCTCTACCGAAAAAGAAGAAGAGGAAGAAGGAGAAGGAGAAGGAGAAGAAGAAGAAAGAAGAAGGTGGAGGGGGAGGGGGAGAAGGAGAAAGGGAAGGGGAGAGGAAAAAGGGGAGCTAGAGAGGGAGGGAAGAGGGAGGGGAGAGGGGAGGGGGAGAGGGAAGGGGAGGGGGAGAGGGAAGGGGATGGAGAGAGGGAAGGGGAGGGGGAGAGGGAGAGGGAGAAGAAGAAGAAAGGGGAAGAAGACGAAGAAGGAGGAGGAGGAGGGGAAGGAGGATAAAGGGAGAGGGGAGAGAAGGAGGGGGTGAGGGGGAGGGACAGGGGGAGGGAAGGGGAGGGGGAAAGGGAAGGGGAGGGGAGAGAGGGAAGAAGAAGAAAGAGGAAGAAGAAGAAGAAGGAGGGGACTGGGGAGAGGGGAGGAGGAGGGGGAGGGAGGGAGAGGGGGAAAGGAAGGGGAGAGGAGAGGGAGAAGAAGAAAGAAGAAGAGGAGGGGGAGAGGAGGAGGGAGGGGGAAGGAGGGGGAAAGGGAAGGGGAGGGGAACGGGGAGAAGAAGAAGAAGGAGAAGTAGAAGGAGAAGAAGAAGGAGGAGGAGGAGGAGGAAAAAGGAAGAATAAAGAAGGAAGAAGCTTATTTCTTTCTTAACTAGGCCTGGTTATGGTGGTCAATGGTATCCTCCCAGCCAGATGCACCTCCATTCAGGGCACTCCTACGTCGCAGTTCAAGATGGTGGCCTTCAAGTTCCAGATGCCAGAATAAAAGAAGGGATGAAGAAGCAGTGACCTCTTAGAGAGAGTGTTTCAGAACCACTGCGGGACTCTTCCCCCGACATCCTTAGCCCATACCAGAGTCCCATGGCCACACTTACCCACAAAGGAGGCTGGGAATTCTGGACAGCCATGTTCCCTAGTAAAATTGGATTTCTTTTACTTTGAAAGAGGGAAAAAAATGGATGTTGGGAACATGGAGCAGTCTTTGCCACAGTTCTGTAGGCCTCGGTGTCCTCTTCTGTGATCTGTGGGTAACAATAGTTTCACCTCACAAGGTCGTTGCAAGAATGAATTGAGTTAATGGGTATAAAGAGCTTACTAAGTGGGCAGTGAATATTAGTAATTATGATGATGATTAGTAGAACATCTTGACAGCAAATTAGCAGGAGGAAAAAGAAGTCACTGTTTTCTGTGCCAAGGAAGGGTGTGACCAGGTGAAATCGGGCTCGTTGATTTGGTAAATGTGGGCACCTCCCTAATGACAGGGAACCGCCCAGAGAAAACATTCAAGACCAGCTTTAATGCCCAGAGAGCAGTCAAAGGTAAATTCGTATCTCCCTTTGTATCCAAGAATCGAGTCAATGTCCTCAGGGACAATTTGTGCTGCTAAGGGAGCCAAAGGTGGCCCTTGAATTAACTCACACAATTCATTTGCTTCTCAAATCTTGTTCCCAGGGCCTGGGTGAAGCAGGCCCTGGGCTCCCTTGATAGTAAGTGGGGCTGGGGAGTGAGTGGTTGCTGTCAGTTGAAGGGACCACAGGACAGGGCTGGAATCTTGAGTCTTTCCAGGGGGTGTCTGGTGCTCTCGTCCACTGAACTTGGACAGAAAATCCTCTTCTTAGGAGCAGACAAAATTTTTCTTGGGAGAGAAAAAAAGTTTTTTGTTATCATCTTTTCTGATTTCAAGATTAGCAATTTGTCTAGCAAAATCCCAACAAACTAACATGTATCCAACAGGCCTTGTGAGAGGGATGTGAACCAGAGCAACTCCATCTTGAATAGGGGCTGAGTAAAATGAGGCTGAGACCTACCGGGCTGCATTCCTAGATGGTTAAGGTATTCTAAGTCACAGGATGAGATAGGAGGTAGGCAGATACAGGTCATAAAGACCTGGCTGATAAAACAGTTTGCAATAAAGAAGCCGGCTAAAACCCACCAAAACCAAGATGGCAACAAGACTTGACCTCTGGTCGTCCTCACTGCTACGCTCCCACCAGCATCATGACAGTTTATAAATGCCATGACAATGTCAGGAAGTTACCGTATATGATCTAAAAAGGGGAGGCATGAATAATCCACCCCTTGTTTAGCATATCATCAAGAAATAACCATAAAAATAGGGCCACTAACAGCCCTCAGGGCTGCTCTGTCTATGGAGTAGCCATTCTTTTATCCCTTACTTTCCTAATAAACTTGCTTTCACTTTACTCTATGGACTCACTCGACTTCTTTCTTCCGAGAGATCCAAGAACCCTCTCTTGGAGTCTGGATCGGGACCCCTTTCCAGTAACAGCCTCAGGAGCGTCCTGGAATTCCACTGGGGGTTTCTCAAGATGTAGTGTGCACCAGGGCCTTGTTAAAAATGCAGGTGTCACCATGAGTTGCTAATCATTGACATGAACAATGGGTGTACAAAGGTTAATTATAATATTCTGAGCCAAGGAAGGTGGCTCATGCCTATAATTCCAGCAGTTTGGGAAGCTGAGGCAAGAGGATCTCTTGAGCCTAGGAATTCAAGAACAGCCCTGGCAACATAGCAAGACCCCGTCTCTACAAAAGAAATTAGAAAATTAGCTGGGTGCAGTAGTGCACACCCATAGTCTGAGCTACTCAGGTGGCTGAGGTGGGAGGATCCCATGAGCCCAGGTGTTTGAGGTGACTGAGCCATGATCGTGCCACTGCACTCCAGCCTAGGTAAAAGAGGGAGACCATGTCTCAAGAAAATAAAAAAATAGGCCAGGTGCAGTGGCTCATGCCTGTAATCCCAGCACTTTGGAAGGCCAAGGCAGATGGAGCACTTGAGGTCAGGAGTTCAAGACCAGCCTGGCCAACATGGTTAAACCCCATCTCTACTAAAAATACAAAAAATTAGTGGAGCATGGTGGCACATGCCTGCAGTCCCAGCTACTCGGGAGGCTGAGACAGGAGGATCACTTGAATCTAGGAGGCAGAGGTTGCAGTGAGCTGAGATGGTGCCACTGTACTCCAGCCTGGGCGACAGAGCAAGACTCTGTCTTAAAAGAAAAGAAACAAAATAAAAAATTGTGGCCGGGCATGGTGGCTCATGCCAGCACTTTGGGAGGCCGTGTTTTTTAACATTTTATAAGCATTTTATAAGCATTAATTCATTTAATTCTCACAATAACCCTATGAGATAGGTACTATTATTAATCCTATTTTACAGATATGGAAAGTGCTAGAAATGGAAAAAATAGGAGGATAAAAACAAACACCTGGCCGGGCGCGGTGGCTCACGCCTGTAATCCCAGCACTTTGGGAGGCCAAGGCGGGCAGATCATGAGGTCAGGAGATCTAGACCATCCTTGCTAACACTGTGAAACCCCATCTCTACTAAAAATACAAAGAATTAGCCGGGCGTGGTGGTGGGCGCCTGTAGTGGGTGGCTCATCCCAGCACTTTGGGAGGCCGAGGCGGGTGGATCACAAGGTCGGGAGATCGAGACCACCCTGGCTAACACGGTGAAACCCCGTCTCTACTAAAAATACAAAAACAAAAGTTAGCCAGGTGTGGTGGCGGGCGCCTGTAGTCCCAGCTACTCGGGAGGCTGAGGCAGGAGAATGGCGTGAACCTGGGAGGCGGAGCTTGGAGTGAGCCGAGATCGCGCCACTGCACTGCAGCCTGGGCGACAGAGCGAGACTCCATCTCAATTTAGAAAAAAAGGTAACATTCTCTCTACTTTCATGTATGTTCAACATTTTCTATAACAAAAGGTTTTTAATTTAAAAAAATATATTTAATACAGGTAGCAGAACCCAGCCCCAAAAACTTCTCAATCTGTAGCTCAGGGTGGAAAAGGAATCTTTTCATGCCCACTTGTTTCAACACAGTTAGAAAAAAACACTTAGATTGGATTCATTACGTACTAGATCTGTTGGAAGTGCTTTATAAATAGGAAGATAATCTCATACCTGCATGTCATTATTGCACCATTTTACAGATGAGGAAACTGAGGCATACATAGGTGAAGTGATTTGCCCTCTTCTCACAGCTAGCAAGTGGCAAGGCTAGGATATGAACCCAGGCAGCCAGGCTCAGAAACGAAGTTCCACCCTCTATCTCCTCTGCCTCTTACAGTTCTGTGAGCAACCTCTATTGACATTCTAACTAGCTCCTTTCAGACTTTTTAAAACTCTCTTGTTTTCACATTCATCTATATCTGCATAAAGATTGTAGGAAGAACAGGCTGGGCACAGTCCAGCCTCTGGTCCTTTGTTCCTCTGGTCCTTTTGTTACTTGGGCTTGGAAAGTTGGGACTTTCCTTTTGATTTAGTTCTAGGAAGTCAGCATGAACTGACCTTAGTTTCCCTGCCTGCAGACGCTATTCTCCTGCCTCAGTGTCAGCAACGAATTCCTAGTGGATTTTACCTGGCTATCTCAGGTATCCCAGAATATCCCAGAGCATCCCAGGAAGAAGCACCTCCTTGAGTTTAAAATACTCACATACCATCCACCTCCCCATCCCAGTCACTGTCTAACCCTCTTCCCCTGCTTTGCTTGTTTCCATTGCTGTTATTTTTCTCTGCTATTATATATTCATTTGTTATTGTTTACTTACCTGCTGTCTGTCACTCCCTGTAGCACATGAGCTTCATGATGGCAGGGACCTTGTCTCCTGTTTTCCTTGCTACAGTACAGCCCTGGCACCTTGCCCAGCAACTGACACACACTAGGTGCTCAATAAAGCACTGAGTGCGTGTGTGAGTCAATGAGAAGTTGGGATATGAGGACAGCTTATGTCTGTGAGCTGGGCCCAGGCTGGCCCTCCCAGAGATGATGTTTCACAAAGGTCTCAGCTCAATCCTGAAATATAAAGACTCAGAATTCTCAAGGCCAGATGGTGTTAACCGCCTTCTGAAAGTGTCTGAAGGCCAGGCAGAGTCAGGGAGAGGTCTCCATTTGGCTGCAGAGGACAAAGAAGTAAAATAATTCAGCAGAGACCAGCTCAGTTGCACCAGATGAGATCCAGGCAGCAAGGGAAGGAGGGAATTCGCCAAAGATGCTCCATTTCCTCAGTCACACACACATGGGTTGTCCAACAGGTGAGATGACAATGATGATGATGATGATAGCTAACATTAATGTAATGAAATATTTACCAGATGCTGCTCTGAGCTCTTTAATACATTCATTCATTTAACCCTCACAACATTACCTCTGAGGCAGGTAATGTGGTTATCCCCATCTTACAGAAGGATAAGTTAAGGCACAGAGCGGTTAGGGAACTTGCCAGAGTGACAAGGCTTGGAAGTAGCTGAGCAGGAATTGGACCAGGTGACCCTGGGCATGTGTCAGAGCAAAACATCTCACTGTCACCTACCACCCACCCAAAAATGCCCCAAACGTTTCAGGTCCCAAAACCAGGGCCAGGCTGACACAATACTGCCCTCTTGTATCATGAATTCCCATTCAGACCACATATTTGCCTTCATGCTGCAGAGGCAGGGTAGTGGCTACAGCCTGAGCCTAGGGTCTCAATGTTTTCTCGGCTGTGTAACCTTGAACAAGTTGCTTGAGTTGCCTGAACCTCAGTTTCCTCATCTGTAAAACAGGATGGTGACTGTACCTACCTTGTAGGATTGTGAGGAGGAATTGAGTAATACAAAGGGTATAGCACAAATCTCAGCTCATAGTAAGCACTCAATAAAAGTAGCTACTGGGGCCAAGCACGGTGGCTCACGCCTGTAATCCCAGCACTTTGGGAGGCCGAGGCAGGCGGATCACTTGAGGTCAGGAGTTGAAGGCCAGCCTGGCCAACATGGTGATATGTCTCTACTAAAAATACAAAAGTTAGCCAAGCATGGTGGCAGGTACCTGTAGTCCCAGCTACTCAGGAGGCTGAGGCAGGAGAATCGCCTGTATCCAGGAGGCAGAGGTTGCAGTGAGCCGAGATATCACACCATTGCACTCCAGCCTGGGGGTACAGAGTGAGATCCATCTCAAAACAAAACAAAACAAAACAAAAAAACAGCAGGGAGCTGTTAGCACTGCAGCCCTAAAGGAGACAGGAGGGAGTGTTTTAGAAGAGGAGGCTTCCAAAACCAGACCCAGTGGCTGTCCTGGCTGGGAGAGAGGCCTGATTGAAACCGTGGCCTTCAGTGGAAGAATGTATGGTGTCCCCACCAGAAGGAGCTGGGAAAATGAACATCGTGAGCCCCCTCCCCTCTTGCCCTCTATTCCGTCCAGGTTCCCAATTGGCCAAATCCACCCAAAAGCAGAGGGCAAACTCCCAGGTGCCCAGAAAGTGGAAGGGGCAGGGAAGGGATCTGGGGAGGCCACCAGAAGACACCCAGGACTGCCCAGGGTCACACTGCTAGTTAATGGCAGAGCCACAATTCGAACTCAAGCCATCTGGCTCCAGCATGTACTCAGCTGCAGATGGTGAGGTCTAAAGACCACCTAACAGATGGGGCGCACCCCAACACAGCCAGATCACAGCCTCAGTTAAGCTGGTGTTTGGGTCAAATTGCGTGCTTCTCATTCATGAAATTGGGTTCCTTCCAGAACTTTCTGGACCTTATTTGATCCCTGGTGAGAGGGATGCCACAATGGTTAAGCAAACACAGTGAAAGCCTGTTTGCAGTCAGACAGGCTTAGGTTCAAATCCCAGCTCAAGGCTGGGTGTGGTGGCTCATGCCTGTAATCCCAACACTTTGGAGTTCAAGATGAGAGGATTGTTTGAGCCCAGAAGTTCAAAACCAGCCTTGACCAAGAAAAAATTTAAAATTAGCCAGACTTGGTGATGCATGCGGGTCGTCCCAGCTACTTGGGAGGCTGAGGCAGGAGGATCACCTGTGCCCAGGAGGTCAAGGCTGTAGTGAACTGAGATGACTCCATTGCACTCCAACTTGGGCGACAGAGTGAGACTCTGTCCCAAAAATAAATAAATAAGCTGGGTATGGTGGCGCATACCTGTAGTCACAGTTGCTCTGGAGGCTGAGGTGAGAGTATCACCTGAGCCCAGGAGTTCCAGGCTGCAGTGAGCCATGTTGGCACCACTGCACTCCAACCTGGGTGACAGAGTGAGATCCTGTCTCAAAAAACAACAAAATCCCAGCTCAGCCACTTCCTAACTAAGCAATAAGGGATAAGTGATGTCACCTCTCTGAACCTCAGTCGCCTCATCTGTGAAATGGAGCTAATGATAATAGAATGGTGAGAGTCCTGGGGGACAGATCAGCCAAGAGTGCCCAGCATATTGCTGGCACTTATTGTGCAGGGAGGACACGTTGCTGTTTTTTGAGGTTTTTGTTTGTTTGTTTTTTGGTTTTTGTTGTTGTTGTTTGTTTTTGTTTTTGTTTTGAGACAGTTTCCCTCTGTCACCCAGGCTGAAGTGCAATGGCGTGATCTCGGCTCACTGCAACCTCTGCCTCCTGGGCTCAAGCGATTCTCATGCCTCAGCCTCCCAAGTACCTGGGATTACAGGTACCTGCCACCACACCCGGCTAATTTTTGTATTTTTACTGATCTGCCCGTCTCCCAAAGACCTGGGATTACAAACAGCCACTGCACCCAGCCACGTTGCTGTTTTTATCCCCGCCCAGCCTTGACCCCTGTCTGCCCTCCACTTCCCACCTGCCAGCCTGCTCCTCGACCTTGCCAAAACCCTCCCGCCTTCCACAGGATCAAAGTCAGAGAAATTAAAAGCCCAGCAGGATCCCTTAAGACTCAGCCAGCTTAGCAACCCAGGCAATTAAGAAATCTCTGTGATTTGAATTCTGAGCAAATCGGATCTTGAAAAAAAATGTCCCCAACTCAAAACCCCTCTGAGGAACTAAATCTGATGCCCCGCAAAGCTCTTTTTTTCAAGTCCTTTGAATCTTGAAAGGTAAGAGTTGTAAATATGTGTATCTTACACAGGGCTGCCCAATCCTCTCAAAGGTTTCAAGGTCAACGGAGATGTTAAAAATACAGGTTCCCCAGACAAACGCAAACTGAGGGGCATTCTACAAAACAAGTGGTCTAAACACTTGTAAAATATCCAAGTCTGCGGAGGCCAATGTGGGAGGATAGCCTGAACCCAGGCTGCCCTGGGCACCATGGCAAGACCCCATTTCTAAAGAAAAAGAAGAAGAAGGAGAAGGAGAAGGGGAAGGGGAAGGGGAGAAAGAGGAAGAGGAGGAGGAGGAGGAAGAGATAGAAGAAATAGAATGTCAAGGTCATGAATGATGGGGGTGGGGGGGTGCTGAAGAACTCTCAGATTAAAAGAGATAGGCTGGGCACGGCGGCTCATACCTGTAATCCCAGCACTTTGGGAAGCTGAGGCGGGTGGAACACTTGAGGCCAGGAGTTCGAGCCCAGCCTGGCCAACATGGTGAAAACCCATCTCTAATAAAAATGCAAAACAATTAGCCGAGTGTAGTGGCACACACCTGTAGTCCCAGCTGCTCAGGAGGCTAAGGCATGAGAATCACTTGAACCCAGGAGGCAGAGGTTGCAGTGAGCCGAGATCACACCATTGCACTTCAGCCTGGGCGACAGAGTGAGACTCTGTCTCAAAAAAAATAAAAGAGAACGAATTTTTTGTTCTAATATAACTAAAGCAATGTGTGATCATTAAAAAATAAAGGGGTGGTGACAATTAGGGAAACTTACCATGTACTGTGGATTAGATATTCACATTGATGCTAAGTATCCTAAATTTCATAATTCAGTGCTGAGTTATGTAAGAGAATTTCCTTGATCTCAGGAGGTAAGCTCAGGTAAAGAGGCATTACGTTTGTAACTTCTCAAATGATTCAGAAAAAAAAATACGCATATTTATATCTGGAAAGTGAGAAGTGATAGAGCAAATGTGATGAGCTATACATCACTCTTTGGAACTATTCTTGTGACTTTTCTTTAAGGATGAAATTATGTCAGTGAAAAGTTTTGGTTTTTGTAAAATACAGATCCCCGGGTCACTCACTGGACTTTTGGAGCAGCCCAGGAATCTGCATTTTTAGCACGCTCCCTAGGGCAGTTGGGCACACAAGAAGCCTGACACGGGAGCTCTGCAGACACGCAAGCCTACATTCCCAGAGGGCAGAAGCACAGCCCATAAGGTTCTTACTCTCCTGTCCCTCCCTGCTGTTCCAGGCAACAAGCAAAGAGCCACACATGGAGGGCTTTGCAAACCAACAGCGTGAGAGGTTCATCCAGATTTTTGCCAAGGGCAGAGCTAGCTCTGAGCCTCTAACCAACTCATCATTACATGACTTAAAATACAATTTGCTGAAGACAATCTTCTGGGAAGGGAGACAGAGAAAGAAAGAAACCAAGGGTCAAGGAGGAGGCAGCCAAGACAGGATAGAGGAGGACCCTGGAAACCAGAAGGCTCCTGTGAGTGTATGCATCAGGGGTAGCAGTGACATTGCTTGGCTTTAGCCCTCCTTAGTCATTTTCATCTGGGGACATCAGCAGCAGCTGCCATTTCTTAATGCATGGGAGGCACCAACAGCTCTGCCTGGCATTGGTGTTCAAATATGCCAGGGGGCTGCCTCATGAATGCAGGGCTGCTTCTCACAAACAGAGCCTTGGAAAAAGTGACTATACCCCACAAGGCAATTAGGAGAAAAACAACTCAGGTAGAAGCACAGCCCAGCCCAGCCAGGGGCTTGCAAACCACTCTGACCAGGACCCACAATAAGGAAGACATTTGCATCACAATCTAGTGACACACACACACACACACACACACAAACACACACACACACAAACACACACACACACTGTGATGGGCATGAAATGCTCCATTTCCTTTGGTTTTTTTTGTTTTTTTTGTTTTTTTGAGACAGAGTCTTGCTCTGTCACCCAGGCTGGAATGCAGTACATGACCTCAGCTCACTGCAACCTCCGCCTCCCAAGTTCAAGCAATCCTCCTGCCTCAGCCTCCTGAGTAGCTGGGATTACAGGCACGCACAGCCACACCCAGCTAATTTTTGTATTTTTAGTAGAGATGGGGTTTCACCAAGTTGGCCAGACTGGTCTCGAACTCCTGACCTCAAGTAATCCACCCGTCTCAGCCTCCCAAAGTGCTGGGATTACAGGAGTGGGCCACTGTGCCCGGCCTAGTCATCTTTTTGTTTTTGCTAATGAAACCTTAGGTATTGGATGGGCAGAGATTCATTAGACATAAACAATGACCCACTTCTAGCCAAGGAGACATAAGGAGAAGGCTGTTCCTGGGGCTTCTGCAGAATTTTTTTTTTTTCTGAATTTAACTGCAGAATTTTTTTTTTTCTGAATAAAATAAATGTGTGAGGAGCTGCTCTCCACACCTGCTTCCTTTAGAGGTGGTTGTATGAGGATGTGATACCTGGCAGTGGCAGCGACAGCCATTCTGTGACTATGAGGAGACATGGCCAACATGTCAAGGGTATCAGAGAGGAAATACATGGAAAGAACCCAGGTCATTGATGAAGCTGTTGAGATGAACTAACTTTGAAATCACCTATTACCAAATCTATTATGCAAAAAAGGAACCCCTAGTATTTAATCCATGTTTAGCCAGGCGCTCTTTTACTTGCAGCCAAAGACAGCCCAAAGGACATGCTAACCATCCTCCATGCTTCACGGGCATAGCCCAGGCAGGTGTTTTCAAAGCCATGGCTGACTGAAATCAATGTAGTGGGTCATGACCAACATGAAAATAAATAAAATAGTATAGATAATATGAGAATGCATGACACATAGAAAAGATAAATATTGTTTCTCAAAACTCCTGTTTGACTTATGTGTATCCCACATTAGGATCCCCAGGAAGCAGACTCTAAGATAGAATTTAGTGTTTAGGGGATATTTGAAGAAGCCCCCTTGAGATCACCTCCTGGGGAAGGAGCAGAGAGGAAGCAGGAGTGGGTAGGGAGAGAAGTTGACCTGAAATGCAGGTGCAACACCATATTTACCAACCCCACCAGGAAACAGGAAGTTAAGATGGCTGTTCAGAATTGTCTAGATTGGGCCAAGATGGCCAGACCTTTGTATATCCCCTAATCAAAATTACTAGACGTGGGACATCCCAGGAAATTTATGTGACCTTGGGCAAGGTGGCCTTCTGCAGGTGAGGCAGGGGCTCAGCCCAAGGACCTGACACCTGGATGCTCTCTGAGGACACCACTTTCAGCAGCTGGAACAGGGCTCTCCTTAAAAGGAAATGGAGCAGCTGGGCACAGTGCCTCATGCCAGTAATCCCAGCACTTTGGGAGGCCAAGGCGGGTAGATCACTTGAGCTCAGGAATTCTAGACCAGCCTGGCCAACATGGTGAAAACTCCTCTCTACTAAAAATACAAAAATTAGCTTTGCATGGTGGCACACACCTGTAATCCCAGCTACTTGGGAGGCTGAGGCAGGAGAATTGCTTGAACTGGGGAGGTGGAGGTTGCAGCGAGCTGAGATCATGCCACTGCGCTCCAGTCTGGGTGACAGAGTGAGACTACACCTCAAAAAAAAAAAAGTGAATGAATGTTGCTAAGGTCTGCCACAGTCCATGTTAGATATCCCTTTCAGCCCTCATTTCCTTATGGGCTTCCATGTCAAAGACCCCGAGGCGGGAGCAGAGGCATTGATCTGGAGCAGATTCATAGCAATTGTACCACCACCAAGGCTTCCTAGATCTGTGACAGACACCACCAGTCAATTACAGCAAGTTTCCCACTGAGCAAGAATGTGGTTTCACAATGTATCTCAACAAAGTATTCCATGTACCCATTACCAACCCATTAGAATTACAACCTGAGATAAAATCTGGTTCCTGCCCTGACCTCTATACCAGAGGATAATAAAGGAAGCTGATAGAAGGTTATTGCTGGTTATTGCTCTGCATTTTCAAAACACTCTCTGACTCATGCCATCCACCCCTCCCTCCCCACATTGGATGTGTCCTCCTTCTCTCTGCCTATCTAAATCCCACCCATCTTTCAAAGAGGCTCAACTCGGAGCAGAGATCCTGTCTTAAAAGACCCTGTCTTAAAAATAAATACATAAAATTCATTTTAAAAAAGAGGCTCAACTCAAACCTGACTCCTCCAGGAAGTCTCCCCTGGGTGTCCCAACCTTGTCTAAAATTATTCACTGAACCCACTGACCAAACCTGACATCACTCCAAGTGGGATAACCAAACATTGAGAGCTTCCTAATGTGATGCGAACAAGAATCTCTATAAAGTGTTCTTGCCCCATGTGACTCTAATCCAGCCTGTAGATTAACTACCCATTTACAAGGAATATGGAGGCTAACAGTAAATAACACCTGGAATGTAATTAGCAAAAATCTAGAATGTCGGAAACGGAAGGACAAGGCTCCAGGGTCTTCAGCAAGTAAATGACATTTTAAAAAACAGGAAGAAATTTGTAGATTTGTATCAGTTATCTATTGTCCACAATAATACTATATAATAAATTACACTAGAATTTAGTGATTTATTTATTTTTTATTTATTTTGAGACTGAGTCTCGCTCTTGTTGCCCAGGCTGGAGTGCAATGACACAATCTCGGCTCACCTCAACCTCCGCCTCCAGGGTTCAAGCGATTCTCCTGCCTCAGCCTCCCGAGTAGCTGGGATTAGAGGCATGTGCCACCATGCCTGGCTAATTTTATTTTTAGTAGAGACAGGGTTTCTCCATGTTGGTCAGGCTGGTCTGGAACTCCCTACCTCAGGCGATCTGCCCACCTTGGCCTCCCAAAGTGCTGGGATTACAGGTGTGAGCCACTGCGCCTGGCCTATTTTTTTATTTTTATTTATTTATTTATTTATTTTTTTGAGACAGGTTCTCACTCTGTGGCCCAGGCTGGAGTGCAATGGTGAGATCTCGACTCATGGCAACCTCCAGTCCCAGGCTCAGGTGACCCTCCCATCTCAGCCTCCTGAGTAGTGGAGACCACAGGCGCACACCACCATACCCAGCTAATTTTTCTATTTTTAGTAGACACAGGGTTTCTTCCTGTTGCCCAGGCTGGTCTGAACTCCTGGGCTCAAGTGATCCAACCACCTGGACCTCCCAAAGTGCTGGGATTACAGGCGTGAGCCACTGCGCCTGGCCAAATTTAGTGATTTTAAAATAACAATTATTATTACACAAGAAGCTGTGGCTCTTTTGGTCTGGGCCAGGTTCAGCTGAGCTGGGCTGGGCTGATCTCATGTTCTGTGGTCAGCTGGCGGGTCAGAAGATGGGCTGGCCTAGAACAGCCTCACCTGGCACAGCTCTTCTGCCCACAGTCTCTTGTCCCACAGCAGGCTGCCTGGGCTTGCTCTCCTTGCTGAGGCAGGGGTCCAAGAAGCATGTAGAATCACGTAGAGGCATCAAGGCTGGGACCGAGACGGCACTCACTTTTACTTCTGCTGCATTCTATTGGCCCAAGCAAGTCACCTGACCAAGCCCAGATTCAAAGGTTGAAAATAGACTCCTCCTCAACAAGAGAAGCCGCCTTCACCTTGCGAAGGACGTGAATACAGAAAGAGACCATTTTTTGGCAATTAATCCCCCACAGGGTAGAAAGAGACTAAGTATATATCAATCAATGCAATGTGTGCCCTTGCTCAGATCCTGACTTCAACAGACCAACTGCAAAACCTCATTTTTGTAGTCATTAGGGCAAATTGAACATAGAATATTAGATGGTAACAAGGAAGTGTGGTTTTTTAATTTTATTTATTTATTTTTTTGACGGAGTTTCGCTCTTGTTGCCTAGGCTGGAGTGCAATGGTGCGATCTTGGCTCACTGCAACCTCCACCTCCCAGGTTCAAGCGATTCTCCTGCCTCAGCCTCCCGAGTAGCTGGGATTACAGGCATGTGCCACCATGCCTGGCTAATTTTGTATTTTTAGTAGAGACGGTGTTTCTCCATGTTGGTCAGGCTGGTCTTGAACTCTCGACCTCAGGTGATCCACCCGCTCTCAGCCTCCCAAAGTGCTGGGATTACAGGCGTGAGCCACAGCGCCCGGCTTAGGAAGTGTTAATTCTTTAAGTATGATAATGGTATTGTGAATATTTTCTAATGCGTTTATTGTTAGAAATACATATTGCATTCCGGGTGCGGTGGCTCACGCCTATAATCCCAACACTTTGGGAGGCCGAGGCGGGCAGATCATGAGGTCAAGAGATCGAGACCATCCTGGCCAACATGGCAAAACCCCGTCTCTACTAAAAATACAAAAATTAGGTGGGTGTGGTGGTGCGCACCTGTAGTCCCAGCTACTTGGGAGGCTGAGGCAGGAGAATCACTTGAACCCAGGAGGTGGAGGTTGCAGTGAGCCAAGGTCACACCACTGCGCTCCAGCCTGGTGACAAAGTGAGACTCTGTCTCAAAAAAAAAAAAAAAAGAAATATGTATTACAGTGTTATGATGTCTGGAATTTATTTAAAGATATTCCAGGCTGGGCATGGTAGCTCATGCCTATAATCCTAGCACTTTGGGAGGCCGAAGCTGGAGGATCGCTAGAGGCCAGGAGTTTGAGACCAGCCTGGGCAATATAGCAAGACCCTGTCTCTACAAAAAATTTAAAAAATTAGCCAAGCACAGTGGCACGTGCCTGTGGTCCCAGCTACTCTGGAGGCTGAGGTGGGAGGATGGCTTGAGCCCAGAAGCTCAATGCTTCAGTGAGCCCTGATCATGCCACTGCACTCCAGCGACGGAGTGAGACCCTGTCTCAAAAAAAAAAAAAAAAAAAAAAGATATTCCAACAAGACCATCAAGAAAAGGAAGTAGGGTATGTGTAAGGGGTAGGAGATGTAGTAAGAATGGCAGAGGGTTGGTAGTTGTTAAAGCTGCGTAATGCATACCCAGGGGTTTATGGTACTATCTTCATGATGTTTATATGTGTGTGTCTGAAATTTTCCATTACAGGCCAGGAACGGTGCTCATACCTGTAATCCCAGCACTTTGGGAGGCCGAGGCGGGTGGACCACCCGAGGTCAGGAGTTTGAGACAAGCCCGGCCCACATGGCGAAACACCGACTCTACTAAAAATACAAAAATTAGCTGGGTGTGGTGGCACATGCCTGTAATCTCAGCTACTCAGGAGGCTGAGACAGGAGAATCGCTTGAACCTGGGAGGCAGAAGTTGCAATGAGCCAAGATCACCACTGCACTCCAGCCTGGGTAATGGAGTGAGACCCTGTCTCAAAAAAAAAAAAAAGAAAGAAAGAAAGAAAGAAAGAAATTTCCCATGGTAAGGAATGTTTAAAAATTATTCATCGGTTTTATTTCCCTCATGTAGTTTCATAAAGTATGGTGTGATTATCATATAATCATGATAATATGGTGTTTCAAGAATATTGCAGAAAAAGTCTAGTTTGGTTCCACCCTGTCTTTAACATCTGTCAAGCACTTGTTAATCTCCCGTTATAACAAAGTGAGAGCAGGCTCAGGCTTCGGAGCTCTTGTCCTGAACAAGATATGGAAAGAATATCACATCATTGTTTGATTTTCATACCACTTCTTTGTTATCATTACCTTCTCTCTACTATGAGTGATACTGCTTTTGCATTTATAAATAGTAATAAAAAGTTCTTTTCAAATAAATTAAAGCTATAAAAAGTAAACTGGCCAGGCATGGTAGCTCACGCCTGTAATCCCAGCACTTTGGGAGGCCGAGGCAGGTGGATCACCTGACACCGGGAGTTCGAGACCAGCCTAGTCAACATGGTGAAACCCCGTCTCCACTAAAAATACAAAAATTAGCCAGGCGTGGTGGCACCTGTAATCCCAACTACTCAGGAGGCTGAGGCAAGAGAATCGCTTGAACCCAAGAGGCAGAGGTTGCAGTGAGCCGAGATCATGCTACTACACTCCAGCCTGGGTGACAAAGCTAGACTCCATCTTAAAAAAAAAAAAAAAAAAAAAAAAATGAGGCTGGGTGCGGTGGCTCACGCCTGTAATCCCAGCACTTTGGGAGGCCGAGGCGGGCAGATCACGAGGTCAGGAGATCGAGACCATCCTGGCTAACACGGTGAAACCCCATCTCTACTAAAAATACAAAAAATTAGCCGGGCGTGGTGGTGGGCACCTGTAGTCCCAGCTACTCAGGAGGCTGAGGCAGGAGAATGGTGTGAACCCAGGAGGCGGAGCTTGCAGTGAGCCGAGATAGCACCACTGCACTCCAGCCTGGGTGGCAGAGCAAGACTTCGCCTCAAAAAAAAAAAAAAAAAAAAAAAAGAGTAAACTTATTTTTAAAATGTGATTAAATCAGTAATGGTACAGATGTTGGCTACCCACTCTAGCAAATAATTCCAAATCCCACTGGCTTTACATAATAAAGTTATGCTTCTCAAGTCACAGCCCAGTGCAAGGCAGTCAGAGTCTCGATTCCACAGAGTCATTCAGGAACTCAGGCTCCTTCCAGCTAGTGGCTCTGAAACCCCCCACACCTTGGGGTCCACCATGGAACCTTCTGCGTTCAGCTGGCCAACTAGAGAACTGAGAGAGAGGCTGTGGTGTCGTGTGGAAGGATTTGGGAGACCAGGCCTAGACATGAACACTTCACTTTAGCCCACATTCCATTGGCTAGAACTTCATCACATAGTTCCACTTAGCTGCAAGGGAGGCTGGAACTAAAGCACGAGCCCAGGAAGAAGATAAGAATGGTGAACATTTAGCATTACCTCTGCCACTGCAGTCCTCAAATGACAAAAAGTTGAGAAAAACAAGTCTATAAGATGAAGCCCCAATTCCTCAGTGTGGCACACAAAGGTCTATCACTCAGGGTTCAATCAGAGATCCACTGTGAGCATCAGAGAAGGGATTTATTACAGGGTTAGACCTTACACAATTGTGAGAGCTGGTAGAGGACTCTATTCACTAATGTTGTCTCTGGGTCACTTATATCAGCTGTCAAGGAGGAGGCTGGACATGAATGAGAGCTAGGAAAAATTGGAACCTTGAGGATGAACTGGGAACCACAAGGACAACTGAGAGCACCAACTGGAAGCTGTGTCCACAGTGTCTGGGGCTCTGCATTGACCTTCTTAGCATTAAAAATATGGCTCAGTTTCACTCCCACCTTCCAAATCTCATACAAATTTCTCCTGTGGCTAATGCCAACCCAGAACCATATGGAGATGGTAATTCTGGAAAAGTGGTTCTAGCCTAGCTGAACACAGAACAAGCCATTCATGGGCCTGTGCAGCATTCTAGCCTCACCCCCCCAGCACTCCCCAGCTCACATCTTCCACTCCAGCCATGCCAACGACTTGCATTTTCTCGACTACACCAGATGTTTCCTCTCTTGTCCATGCTGCTGTTCCCTCTGTCTGGAATGTTCTTTCCTGCCACCATCTTATGCCTCACTCTTTCTCAGCCTTCAAGATCTGTTCAAATGCCACCTCCCCTAGGAAGCCTTCCCTAATGTCTCCGCCAGGAATGGGAGAGTGGCGGGGCCATAAATGCAGTAGAAGGTTGTGCAACTTGCAATCCTTCTGCATAACCTTTCAAATCTTCCACAAAATCACTACATGTACTAAATGCTGAGTGTGACTGGGTTTCTTCTCAAAAATAGTGAGGGGGTGGGGCTTTTAACCTGGCTTTGACTCAGGGTGGGAGCAAGATAGCTCACACAGTCACAAGAGCCCTGAGACCAGGAGGAGTATGAGGAAGAGAAGAGCAAGAGGATATAAGATACAGGAACAGGCAGAAATTGACGGGAGGCTTTAAGCTGTCTCCAACTTGGAATTTGGGTCTATGCCATGTTTAAGTAGATCTCAGAGGAGAAGGAGCACCATGTTACACAGGTGTGGTAGATAGGATTATCTTTCTTAATTCTTCACTCCCTTCTGTCACATGACCTTGAAATGCATGAGAGTGAGGAAAGTCTATTTCCCTTTCCTGTTGATGTCAGGCTTGGCAATAGCTATAGATAGTGGCATAGATTTTTTGCCAGTGGAATGTGTGCAGAGGTGATGTGCTAGCTCCAAGCCAAGGTGTTAAGAAACATTACATGTGTCTGCTCATCCCCTTGCACTTCTGCTAGCCACCTTGAACATGCCTGAGTAGTTGCTGACCCAAGAGGATTAAAAAAAAAAATGTAGAAGAAATACATGGAACATACCAGAACACAACTGCAGCCAGGAGCCAAGCCCAAGTGATTCCAGCAGACCTACAGTTAATTCGTACACTCACAAGCAAGAAAATCAATGTTTGTTGTTGTGGCTTTTTAATAGTATGTGAAATGTCATTCATGTACTGTTAAATTCACCAATGTAAACAGTATAATCCAGCAGTTTTTAGCATATTTATAGCTGTGCAACCATCACCACAATTAATTTTAGAATGTTTTCATCACCCCAAAAAGAAACCCTATACCTATTGTATTAGCAATCTCTCCCCATTTCTTTTCTTTTTTTTTTTTTTTTAGAGAAGTCTTACTCTTATCCCCAGTCTATTCCCATTTCTGTTTGTCATTTGAAGCCACTAAGTGGGGTAGAGAGATACTTGTTACACAGCATTATTGTGGCAATAGCTGACAGATACAGAAGTATTAGAGATGTGCTCAGTGTAAACAAGTCCACAATTGTACATTTCCCTTGGAGAAGCTTAGGATAAGAAAAATTTTCCTCCCCAGACCCCCTTATACACAGTCACACAATAACATGTGCTCAGACACACTGTCACTTTCACATACTTTTATAAATATATCACACACCCACACTCATAGACTCACTCATTTCCATGGATACAATCAAAGATCCATATGCAGACTCCCATGCATAGATTCACAATTACACACTGTAGATGCACACACCCAGATAGCAATTTCCCAAACTCCAGTCGTTCAAATGACACAACTCAATTTTTTTCTCCATATCTGTACATCACATGTGCTCTTATTTCCTTAATTTTTTCTTTAAATGACTGATATTTTTGTTTAAATAAATTCATTTTTAAAAGAAGCCACTGATGAGTCCTATACATAGATGATCCTCATCTTTTCCGTTGGCTCTTGCCCCTTCTTTCCACCACACTCAATCCTGTCTATTATCAGGGGGATTGAGAGAACCCAATGCCACCACCTCCAGGAAGCCCCCCACCAGTGGCATGCGACCCATGCAGTTGCATAGGACTCTACCCTTAGAAGGATCTCATGCTTGCCCTTAGGATGCCTCATATGATCTACTGTCAGCATTTGGAAATTCTTAGTCATTGGTAAACAAGGGGCTATGCATTTTCTTTCTGTAAATGGCCCCACAAATTATGTCGTTCTCCTGCCTCTAACCATAGAGTCTTTCAGTTCCCATCGGCTTCCTGAGGTGGCAGCTTCCTACCTGGAAGATGAGCTGACCCAGGGCAGGGTCCCATCTCACACAGCCCAGACCTCGGGGTCCAAGCTTGAATCTCAGCTCCATTTACCAGGTGAGTAAGCTTGAGCCAGCCTGCCCTGACAGCCACAGGACCCAGGACAAGAGTATGAAGGGAGGTTCACAAGTACATGCCACCACACCAGCTAAACATCTTCATGGGATAAATCAAGCTTACAGTTGTCAAATAAAATGCATTTAACTTTCTTTTTTATGTATTTCTTTTTTATGAGACGGAGTCTCGCTCTGTCACCCAGGCTGGAGTACAGTGGTGCGACCTTGACTCACTGCAACCTCCACCTCCCTGGTTCAAGTGATTCTCCTGCCTCAGCCTCCTGAGTAGCTGGGATTACAGGTGCCTGCCACCATGCCAAGCTAATTTTTCTATTTTTAGTAGAGATGGAGTTTCACCATGTTGCCCAGGCTGGTCTTGAATTCCTGGACTCAAGCAATCTGCCCACTTTGGCCTCCCAAAGTGCAGGGATTACAGATGTGGGCCACTGTACCCAGCCAATTTGTTTAATGTTTCTAAATGATCCTCTTGTTGTGGTAGTTATATATTGCTGCCTAACAAATTACCATAAATTTGGCAGTTTATTTACTATCTCACCATTTCTGTGGTCAGGAATCCAGAAATGGCTTAGTTGGGTCCTCTGCTGCAGGGTCTCATAAGGCTGCAATCAAGGTGTCAAGCCAGGGCTGGGGTCTCATCTGAGACTCGCCTGGGGAAGGATCTGCTTCTAAGGTCATACAGTTGTTGTGCATCCAGTTCAGGCTGTCAGACTAAGTGCCTCAGTTTCTTGCTGGCTGTTGGCTGGAAGTCACCCTCAGTTTCTAAGCACATGGGCCAACTCCTCTGGTGGCTTACTTCATCAAAGCCAGCAAAGAAGAACATCAATTGGAAGAGTCTGCATGTAAGACAGCAGTTACAATCCTCTGCCATGTAGTCACAGATGTGAAATCCTATTACCTTTGCTGCATTCTATATGCTAAGAGCAGGTCCCAGGGCCCTCCCATACTCCAGCAGAGAGGATTACACAGGGGTGTGAATGCTAGAAGGCAGGGATCACTGGGGAGCATTTTAGAATGTGTCCCCTACAGTTGTCTTGTGCAGTTGTGCAAAGATTACACTAATGTGTGAGGACTTCCAGAACCACAAAGTGGAACACAGAAAGAAGGCTGTCTCAGTCTGGAGTGCAGTGGCGCAATCTCAGCTCACTGCAACCTCTGCCTCCTAAGTTCAAGCAATTCTCATGCCTCAGCCCCCTGAGTAGCTGGGACTACAAGTACATGACACCACAGCAGCTAATTTTTGTATTTTTAGTAAAGACAGGGTTTTATCATGTTGGCCAGGCTGGTCTTGACTTCCTGACCTCAAGTGATCCTCCCACCTCGGCCTCCCAAAGTGCTGGGATTGCAGGCATAAGCCACCACGCCCAGCCAGAGAGGGAGAATTTGGTAAATTAATTCACTGGTCTTTGCTCTTATCTAAGTGCCTCAAATTCTTAAATTATCCTTGCCCCCTATAAGCACATTCATCTCCAACATTGGCAGCAGCCCAACCCATGAACTTTCACTGCATTAGGACACAGTTGTTATTTTGAGGACCTAATCTAAGGGATGTGGAGAAGCTTTTCTCTGGAGTCTAAATCGTATAAGTCATGAGAGTGAAGGTTTTGGACTGTGGTTGTGCCATGATAGTTCTGAGTTCCAGGCTCCAAGTGACAGACTCCAAGTGATGGAGGCCACATGTGTTTTTTAAATAAATTCTTTGTGTGTGTACGTTTGTGATTTTCAGGGCTGCTTGAGTATCCTCACAACATGGCAGCTGGATTTCCCCAGAGCAAGTGATCCAAGAAAGAAAGAGCAAGATAGAAGCCATAATGTCTTTTATGACTCAGACCTGGAAATCACACACCATCATTTCTGCAATATCCATCTGGTCACACAGGTCAGCACTATTCAGTGTGGAAGGGTGCTACACTGTTGTAGTAAGCAGAATTCTAAAACAGTTCCCAAGATCCCACCTCCTGGTGTACATACCCTGTATACTTTCCTCCCTTTGTGTGTGTCAAGACTTATGGGCCGGGTGTGGTGGCTCACGCCTGTAATCCCAGCACTTTGGGAGGCCGAGGCGGGTGGATCACGAGGTCAGGAGATCGAGACCATCCTGGCTAACTTGGTGAAACCCCATCTCTACTAAAAATACAAAAAAAAATTAGCCAGGCACAGTGGCGGGTGCCTGTAGTCCCAGCTACTCAGGAGGCTGAGGCAGGAGAATGGCGTGAACCCAGAAGGCGGAGCTTGCAGTGAGCCAAGATAGCGCCATTGCACTCCAGCCTGGGTGACAGAGCAAGACTCTGCCTCAAAAAAAAAAAAAAAAAAAGACTTATGAAGATAGTGGGTTATCACTCTTACGATTATGTTACATTATAAAGCAGAAGAGATTTTGCAGATGTAATTAAGGTCCCTAATCAATTGAATCTGAGTTAATCAAAAGGGAAAATGCCTCAAGTGGCCTGACCTAATCCAGTAAGCCCTTAAAAGAGGTCAGAGAGAGTCAAAGCTAAGAAGAATTTGGGCTGGGCACAACAGCTCACACGTGTAATCCCAGCACTTTGGAAAGCCAAGGTAGGCGAATCACCTGAGGACAGGAGTTTGAGACCAGCCTGGCCAATATGGCAAAACCCCATCTCTACTAAAAATACCAAAATTAGCCAGGTGTGGTGGCACACACCTGTAGTCCTAGCTACTTGGGTGGCTGAGGCATGAGAATCACTTGGACCCGGGAGGTGGAGGTTGCAGTGAGTGGAGACAGTGCCACTGCACTTCAGCCTGGGTGACAAAGCCAGACTCTACCTCAGAAAAAAACAAAGAAAAGGCTGGGTGCAGTGGCTCATGCCTGGGACCTACTCCTCTCCTCATTCGTTCATTCATTCCACAAACAATTCCTGAACCCCCTACTCTGTTCATGCACAGTGCTGGTTAGTGGGGGCCCAGAAGTGACTCATGTGTTTCCCAATCTCCAGGAGTTCCAATCTGGAGCAGAAAGCATCCCATGGCATTCCTCAACTATTCCCGACATAACCCATATGTAGTTGAGACTCCAGAATCTTCCAAGGACTGGTTTCAGCACATTGTTCCACCCCCAAACCACAAACCTGACCCCTAAAGCATTGACATACAGTACTTTTGCTTAAGTTTCCTAGTGGAGACCAAGGATGATATTTGATATGGTTTGGCTCTGTGTCCCCTTCCAAATCTCATCTCCAATTGTAATCCCCACGTGTTGAGTGAGGGACCTGATGGGAGGTGATTGGATCATAGGGGTGGTTTTCTCCATGCTGTTCTCGTGATAGAGAGGGAGTTCTCACAGATCTGGTTGTTTGATAAGTGTCTGGCATTTCCCCTGTGCTCTCTCTCCTTCCACCCTCATTGTAAGTTTCCTGAGGCCTCCCCAGCCATGCAGAACTGTAAGTCAATTAAACCTCTTTTGTTTATAAATTACCCAGTCTCAGGTAGTATCTTTATAGCAGTGTGAAAACGGACTAATATGGAATTACATCACATATTATGAACTAAATGTTGTCAAACTTTTCTTTTTTGTTAGAGACAGGGTCTTGCTCATGTCACCCAGGCTGGAGTGCAATGGTGTGATCATAGCTCACTGCAGCCTCAATCTCCTGGGCTCAAGTGATCCTCCCACCTCAGCCTCTCAAGTAGCTGAAACCACAGGTACATGCACAGTACCTGGCTTCAGATTTCTGTATTAAACTTCTCTTCTCTCCTTAAGCTGTATTATCCAGGATGTCTTCTCTCCCTCCTCCCTTGCTAAACATCTTCATTATTCCGAGGAGTTTTTTGTTTTCATACTCCACTTGGCACAACAAAAGCCTGGTGATAAGTCAAACCAATGTGGGCATGGATGGAAGAGGGATTGGCCTCCTCAGTTCTGTAGGCAGCCCTGCCCTAACCCTTGTGACCTTGAATGAGGTACCTGCTGTCCCAGTTTCCTGCCCCTTAGGGGAGAACAGCAGCTTCCTGAGCACCCCAGCCAGGCTTCTGAAGTTCTAGGAGGAAGATGTTAGGGAAATAGCAAGTCCAGATCATGACCAGCTCAGGCCCTTCAGAATGAGGGCATTGAAATAAAAGGTCAAAGACCCTGAGGACAGTGGCTAAGATCCAGCTTCCAGAATATCACAGCGACCCCAGTCAGGGCCCCTCCAGGCCCCACTGGGTATGGGTAGAAGCCTGAGCTGTTGGATGTCCCAAGTTACCATTCTTTTTTTTTTTTTTTTTTTGAGACCGAGTCTCGCTCTGTCGTCTGGGCTGGAGTACAGTGGTGCGATTTCAGCTCACTGCAACCTCTGCCTCCCAGGTTCAAGCGATTCTCCCACCTCAGCCTCCCAAGTAGCTGGAATTACAGGCATGCGCCACCACACCCGGATAATTTTTGTATTTTTAGTAGAGATGGGGTTTCACCATGTTGGCCAGGCTGGTCTCAAAGTCCTGACCTCAGGTAATCTGCCTGCCTCAGCCTCCTGAACTGCTAGGATTACAGGCCTAAGCCTCTTCGCCCGGACGACCGAGTCACCATTCTGGAAGCCAGCCCTCCACCCTGAGTGACAACCATCTTCATCACTCTCCTGTCTCCGGAAGGGGACTGTCTTCACTCACTCCCTGCCCAATCTCCTCAGTCTTGAGACTTTAAGGATCACTCATAGGATGACTCATCAGTCTCCTCCCCTGCCTTCACCTTAAGTCCCTGACCATTATCCACCTGCTAACTGACATGTCAGCCGGAAGGTACAATGGCCATAGCAAACCTGCCACGTCCAGAATAGAGAGTCTCCATTTCATCCTCCTCGCTCTCCAACCACCCTCACTGAAACCTACTCCTTCATATTCCCCATCTCGATAAATGGCCCCATCACATCTGCCCAGTTGCTTGAGCCAGAAACCAAGGATTTAACCTTGATTCTTCTCTTGAATCCCCCAACTATAACTCATCGTCATTTTATTGGCTCTCCTTCCAAACATTTCCCCAATCTTTATTTTGTCTCCACGGCTCCCACCTTGGTCCAGCTCACTGCCTTCTCAGACCAGGGTGACTTCAGGAACTTCCTCAACCTGCTCCCTACTCCCTCTCTTGCCACACCACAGCCTACTCTCCACACAGCACCCTGAGAAAGCATGATTCTCCTGCTTAAGCGCTCCACGTTTTTATTTAAAAATTTATTTTATTTTGTATTTTATGGCTTTTTTTTTGTTTTTTTTTTTTTGTTTTTTTAGAGAAAGGGTCTCACTCTGTCACCCAGGCTGGAGTGCAGTGGCGCAATCACAGCTCATTGTAGCCTCAACCTCCTGGGTCCAAGCCATCCTCCCACCCCAGCCTCCCAAAGTGCTGGGATTACAGGTGTGAGCCACTGCACTCAACAGCCTCTCCAAGTTTTTATGCAGCTGCCACACACTTGTTTCATCTGGCTGTGGCCTATATCTTGAACTTTCAGCCTTTCCTGTATTCTATGCTAGCCACATGCATCCTCCCTGTTCCCCATACACACCAGGCTTCATCTGACCTCAGGGCCTTTGCATGTGCTGTTCCTTTCACCTGAAATCCTCTCCCCTCTCCTACCTATTTGTGTAGCTGGCTTGACCTTGCCATTTAGATCTCAGTCCAAAAGTCGCCTCTTTAGAGACCCCATTCCTATATAAATGAGGCACACCCACTCTCACTCCCACCCAGCTACTGCCTACTACACCATCTTATTAGAATTCTCCCGTAGAGCCTGTCACTATCTTACTATCTTTTTTTTATTTTTTTTTAGACAGTCTTTCTCTGTCACCCAGGCTGGAGTGCCGTGGTGTGACCTCAGCTCATGGCAACCTCCACCTCCAGGGTTCAAGCAATTCTCGTGCCTCAGCCTCCCGAGTAGCTGGGATTACAGACGTGCACAATCACGTCAAGCTATTTTTTGTATTTTTAGTAGAGATGAGGTTTCACATGTTGGCCAGGCTGCTCTCCAACTCCTGACCCCAGGTGATCCGCCTGCCTGGGCCTCCCAAAGGTCTGGGATTACAGGAGTGAGCCACTGCGCCCCGCCTCATCATCTTATTTTTGCTTGCTTGCTTACTTATTTAGATTGTCTTCCCCATTAGAATTTCAGTGCCAAGAAAGCTGTTTGGTCACTGCTCTATCTCTAGCCCCTAGACCAGTGCCTGACATATAGGACTTGCCCAGGAAATATCTCTCAAACTCATTCTTTCATTCATTCATTCAGCATATATTTACTGAGGCTTACTGCTTAATGACTCAGGAACCCCAAGGGTACAAGGGTAACCAAGACTTCTGGCACCAGTGGGTTCAAATTCAGGCTCCCCCATCATTCCCCATCTCTGACATCTGCTCTCTGAGCCTGTTTCCCCATCCATAAAATGGGTGGGTTCAAATTCAGGCTCCCCCATCATTCCCCATCTCTGACTCTGAGCCTGTTTCCCTATCCATAACATGGGAATAAGAATATCTATTTGGCAGGATTGTTACGAGAATTAAACATAAACCTGCAAAAGGCTACCAGACAACCTCACACATAGTAGGTACTCATTAAGTGAGTCCTTTTATCCCATGACCAAGGGTGACCCTGACTGCCTGGCAACTGCCCCAGAGAATGTGGACACAGGCCTGGGGGCTCTGACACAGCTGTGGAACAGCTGGACGCCTGCGTGGGTGAGAGGTCGAGAACGGATGTGGGGTGGGTGGAGGCCCCTGAGGCCAGCTGGTGACCCAGTTGGCCACAGAGACAAGGGAGAAAAGGACCAGAAATAAGCCAGGGCAGCTTCTTGAAATAACAGAATGGGAACAGGATGGGGCCACAGGATGCCTCCCGGGGGCAAAGAATTGGGAAGGCAGGAAGATGTGTCCCTCAACTCTAGCTCCAAGAATCCCCAGACAGGCCGGGGAACTTGGCCAACCCTCAGAGCCCTGCCTCCCACCCAGCCCACCTATGTGTTCTCTGGCCAAGAGCAGAGACAAGTCTGGCAGGGACTACACAACCCCGGGCTGCTGGGTTGGGTTTGAAACGGAAAATGTCCATCAATTCCATGGAATATTGTGCAGTGGCAAAAAAGAATGAGATGCTCCTTATATACTGATGGGACTGGTCTCTAAGAGATGTTGTGAAGTAAGAAAGATGAATTTTTTTTTAATTTGGGTTTTTTTGTTTGTTTGTTTGTTTTCCCTACGACAGGGTCTCACTCTGTCACTCAAGCTGGAGTGCAGTGGCATAATCATGGCTCACTGCAGCCTCAACCTCCCCGGCTCAGGTGATCTTCACACCTCAGCCTCCCGAGTAGCTGGGACTATGGTGCACGCCACCACACCTGGCTAATTTTTATATTTTTTGTAGAGACAGGATCCTGCTATGTTGCCCACAGGTGATCTGCCTGCCTCGGCCTCCCACAGTGCTAGATTACAGGCATGAGCCACCACGCCTGGCCTAATAAATATTTTTTTAATAGAAAAATAAAGAGTCCTGGCTGAGTGTGGTGGTTCACACCTGTAATCCCAGCACTGTGGGAGGCCAAGGGGGGCAAATCACCTGAGGTCAGGAGTTCGAGACCAGCCTGGCCAACATGGTGAAACCTCATCTCTACTAAAAATACAAAAGTTAGCTGGAAGTGGTGGCGGGCACCTGTAGTCCCAGCTACTTGGGAGGCTGAGGCACGACAATCACTTGAACCCAGGAGACAGAGGTTGCAGTGAGCCAAGATCCTGCCACTGCACTCCAGCCTGAGTGACAGAGTGAGACTCTGTCTCAAAAAAATACATAAATAAAATAAACAAATAAATAAAAAAGAAAGTTGATTATATTTCTCCTCTTTATGTTGCTCCACTGTTTAAATCCTTTCAGTGACACATAGCTGAGTATATTGGATAATTTCAAAAAAAGTATTTGTTGATTGGATTGGTAAATTAATACATGTGTGAATGAACAGGATCATACTTTATCTCTTGATATGTATTGATATGGAAAAGTGTAGAATATTACATAAAGGATGATCTCGTTTTTGAGAGATAATTACATTCAGTACACAAAATTGTATTGGATATTAGCATATGCATGTATTTGCTCATGTGTAGGTTAGTATACAGATGGATATTGTACATATTAGGATATATTTGGATATGTACATGATTACTGGTCTATAAATAGAAAAAAAAATCTAGGCTGGGTGCAGTGGCTCATGCCTATAATCCCAGCACTTTCAGAGATAGAGGTCGGCAGATCATTTGAGGTCAGGCATTCGAGACCAGCCTGACCAACAGGGTGAGACCCCATCTCTACTAAAAATACGAAAATTAGCCA